>NC_000004.12:117103199-117254714 GCF_000001405.40 Homo sapiens | reverse complement strand
GGAAACAGGCCCTTGAAAAGAAGGTAATGTGGAGTGGGTAGCCTCCGTATTGATTAAGAAGGGAACAGACTTAGCTTCTACTGTGAGAGTTAGAGCGTCTGTGATGGTCCTGTAGGCTTCCGAGGTGATCGGGCAGTGTCAGTCTTCAGCTGCTAGGCGGAGAAGATCTGGGAAAGAGTCAGTCAGAGAGCCTTGAGCCAGAGTTCCAGGGGCTCTGGGAGTGGCTGCCAGGTGAGTTGAACAGTCCGATTTCCAGTGGGGCTCCACACAGATGGGACATGGCTTAGGAGGAATCCCAGGCTGCAGGCATTCCTCGGCCTGGTGGCCAGATTTCTGGCACTTGTAGCAAGCTCCTGGGGAAGGTGGTTCTGGAGGAACTCCTGGCCACTGAGGTTTAGGCGTCTGGAAGTTCTTGTGTGCTGGAGATGTGGCTGGGGTTTGTCTCACAGTGGAGGCAAAGAATTGCAACTTTTTTCTATTATTGTACACCTTGAAGGTGAGGTTAATTAAATCCTATTGTGGGGTTTGAGGGCTGGAATTTAATTTTTGGAGTTTTATTTAATGTCGGGAGCAGATTGGGTAATAAAATGTATATTGAGAATAAGACGGCCTTTTGACCTTTTAGGGTCTAGGGCTGTAAAGCATCTCAGGGTTGCTGCTGAAAAAGCCATGAACTGGGCTGGGTTTTTTATATTTGATGAAAAAGAGTCTAAACGCTAACTGATTTGGGAAAGGTCGGATAAAGAAAAAGGAGCATTAACCTTGACTATGCCTTTAGCTTCAGCCACCTTTTTAAGAAGAAACTGCTGGGCAGGTGGGGGAGGGCTACTTACGGAATGAAACTGTAAACCGGGCCGGGTGTGAGGAGGGGAGGTGATAAAAAGATTATAGGGTGGAGGAGCAGAGGCTGAGGAAGAATTGGGACCTAGCTCCACCTGGTGAGGAGCAGCCTGGGGAGGAAGGGAGAGGACAGATTGGTCTGTGGAAAAGGAATATTAGAAAGACTCAGTGACGCTTGTGGTTGGGACTGAGGGGACAGGCGGGAGGGAAAGAAGGAAGATTTGGGACGAGTTGCATTGGGCACAGAGACTAGGAAGGGACCGATGTGTAAAAGAATGCTTGGACATCAGGCACCTCAGACCGTTTGCCTATTTTACGACAAGAATGATTTAGATCTTGCAGGATAGAAAAATTGAAAGTGCCGTTTTCTGGCTATTTGGAACTACTGTCGAGTTTGTATTCGGGTCAAGCGGCATTGCAGAAGAAAATAAGGCATTTACATTTTAGGTCAGGTGTGAGTTGAAGAGGTTTTAAGTTTTTGAGAACACAGGCTAAGGGAGAAGAAGGAGGAGTGGAGGGTGGAAGGTTGCCTATAGTGAAGGAGGCAAGTTTAAAGATAAGGGAGAGTAGAGACATGGAGGGAAGCGGTTCATGGGTTCCTACCCTCCAGAAAAGTGGGAAAGGGGTCGGGGCACAGAGATACGAGGTCGGGGTGTGGAAATAAGGGATCAGGGTGCAGAGATATAAGTGGTTGCGGTGCGGAAATAAGGGATCGGGGCACAGAAATAAGGGATTGGGGCACAGAGATACAAGGTTGGGGTACTTGTCCCTCCCCTAGGAAAGTGGGACTTGCTGCTAAGAGTGAAGGAGAAGGGGTTGGAGATTTCTTGCCCCCCAGAAAGGCAGAGAAGGGGTAGAGACACAGAGAGAAGGGTTTGGGGTACTTGCCCCTCCCCCAGAAAGCGGGACTTGCCACTAAGGGTGAAGGACCAAGGCAGGCATCCCTGCGTGGTCTGACACCTCTGAAACCTGGGTGAACAATCAGAGAGGCGTCCCTGCAATGATTAAACACCAAGGGAAGGCTGCCTTCCCTAATCCGTGACTGGAGCTGGAGTTTTGGGTCCACGGGTAAAATGTGTCTCCTTTGTCTCTACCAGAAAATGAAAGGAATTGAAATTAATAGAAGGGAGAGATTGAAGTGTGGCGCCAAGATTGAAAGGAGAAAGAAGTTGAGGGATAGTGAGGGAGGTTGGAGAAGAGAGTAAAGAGGCCGCTTACCGGATTTGAAATTGGTGAGATGTTTCTTGGGCTGGTTAGTCTGAGGACCAGAGGTTGTAGGTGGATCTTTTTCATGGAGCAAAGAACAGGAGGACAGGGGATTGATCTCCCAAGGGAGGTCTACTGATCCGAGTCACAGCACCAAATTTCACATGCGTCTGTGTGAAGAGACCACAAAACAGGCTTTGTGTGAGCAACATGGCTGTTTATTTCACCTGGGTGCAGGCAGGCTGAGTCCGAAAAGAGAGTCAGCAAAGGGAGATAGAGGTGGGGCCTTTTTATAGGATTTGGGTAGGTAAAGGAAAAAGGGGGGTCGTTCTCTGGCGGGCAGGAGTGGGGGTCACAAGGTACTTAGTGGGGGAGCTTTTGAGCCAGGATGAGCCAGGAGAAGGAATTTCACAAGACAATGTCATCAGTTAAGGCAGGAACAGGCCATTTTCACTTCTTTTGTGGTGGAATGTCATCAGTTAAGGCAGGAACCAGCCATCTGGATGTGTACGTGCAGGTCACAGGGGATATGATGGCTTAGCTTGGGTTCAGAGGCCTGACACCCAGTAGTCCCACAAAGTCTCAAATCATTTCAGCAATAACTCAAAAGTCCATAGTCCAAAGTCTTATCTGAGACAAGGCAAATTCCTTCTGCCTATGAGCCAGTAAAATTAAAAGCAGGTTAGTTACTTCCTAGATACAATGAGGGTACAGGCACTGGATAAATACAATCATTCCAAATGGGAGAAATTGGCCAAAACTAAGGGGCTACAGTCCCCATGCAAGTTGAAATCTAGTGAGGCAGGCAAATCTTAAAGCTCTGAAATATTCTCCTTAGAATTCAGGTCTCATACCCAGGTCATGTTGATGAAAGAGGTGGCTTCCCATGGTCTTGGACAGCTCCACCCCTGTGACTTTGAAGAATACAGCCTCCCTCCCAGCTGCTTTCATTAACTGGCATTGAGTGTATGTGGCTTTTCCAGGTGCATAGTGCAAGCTGTTGGTGGATCTACCATTCTGGGGTCTGGAGGATGATGGCTCTCTTTTCCCAGCTCCACTAGGCAGTGCCTCAGTAAGGACTCTGTGTGGGATCTGTGACCCTACATTTCCCTTCTGCACTGCCCTAGCAGAAGTTCTCCATAATAGCTCTGCCATTGCAGCAAGCTTCTGCCTGGACATCCAGGTGTTTCCATACACCCTCTGAAATTTAGGCAGAGGGTCCCAAACCTCAATTCTTGACTTCTGTGCTCAGGCAGGCTCAACATTGTGTGGAAGCTGTCAAGGCTTGGGGCTTGCACCCTCTGAATCCATGGCTCAAGCTCTACGTTGCCCCTTTCACCCATGGCTGGAACAGCTGGGAGGCAGGGCACCAAGTCTTTAGGCTGCACACAGCACAGGGACCCCAGGCCCACCCAACAAAATCATTTTCTTATATACCTCTGGGCCTGTGATGGAAGGAGATTCTGTGGAGACTTCTGACATGCCCTGGAGACATTTTCCCCATTGTCTTGGTGATTAAAATTAGGCTCCTCATTAATTATGCAAATTTCTGCAGCTGGCTTGAATTTCTTTTCAGGAAATGCGTTTTTCTTTTCTTTCACATTGTCAGGTGGCAAATTTTCCAAACTTTCGTGCTCTGCTTTCCTTATCAAACTGAATGCATTTAACAGCACCCAAGTCATCTCTTGAATGCTTTGCTGCTTAGAAAATTTTTCCACAAGATACCCTAAATAATCTCTCTCAAGTTCAAAGTTCCAAATATCTCTGGGACAAGGGCAAAATGCCCCCAGTCTCTTTGATAAAACATAACAAAAGTCACTTTTGCTCCAGTTCTCAACAAATTCTTCATCTCCATCTGAGACCACCTCAGCCTGGACCTTATTGTCCATATTGCAATCAGGCTTTTGGTCAAAACCATTAATCAAGTCTCTAGGAAGTTCCAAACTTCCCCATATTTTCCTGTTTTCTTCTGAGCCCTCCAATCTCTTCCAACCTCTGCCTGTTACTCAGTTCCAAAGTTGCTTCCACACTTTTGAGTATCTTTTCAGCAGCACCCCACTCTGTTGTTACCAATTTACTCTATTGGTCCATTTTCACACTGCTGATAAAGACATACCCAAGACTTGACAATTTACAAAAGAAAGAGGTGTAATTGCACTTACAGTTCCACATGGTTGAGGAAGGCTCACAATTATGGCGGAAGGCAAGGAGAAGCAAGTTCCATCTTATATGGATGGCAGCAGGCAAAAAAAAAAAAGAGCTTGTGCAGAGAAACTCCCATTTATTGAAACCATCATATCCCAAGAGACCTATTCACTCTCATGAGAACAGCACAGGAAAGACCCACCCCCATAATTCAGTCATCTCCCATCAGGTCCCTCACACAACAAGTGGGAATTATGGGAGCTATAAGATGAGATTTGGGTGGAGACACAGAGCCAAATCATACCATGTACCTTCTCAAAGGGAGAAAGGAAGAAATGACCTGTAAATCATGTGTGGCACAAGATAACAAAAGTTGAACTTCTGAGACAGGAACCTCAAAAGCATAGAAAGGAAAACTCTACCACAAGAAATGAAATTACCATTTTAAATGAAGACTGCATTTCTAACCATAAACTAGAAAAATTAAATGGATCTTAGTAAGAAATGTGGCAGAAATAGAATTGTAAAACAGAAAAAACGTAACTTCAGATAAGATGTTTGAAAATTTAAAGAAACAGATTTTACAATTAAAATACAAAACCTCTTATAGCTTTTTTTTTTTTTCTAAGAACAGATAAATACTTTAGAAAACTTTGTTCTGTCTAACCTAGGGGACCAAAATTTTAGTTTTATTTTTATGTTTTTATCTATTATCTAGCAACATATCTAGATACAAAATTTTAGTTACCTGTCTACCTAAGCTCAGTTTTTAGAAAGATGTACAAATAATTACATAATTTTAGCCAACTCAATTACTCACAAAATTTTTTTTATAAATTAATCTCTTACAGTCCTTGAATGACCTCTTCAGACCTTCTGCAAGTTGCTCAGACCTTAAGTTTCGTTCTGTACTTCATTTTTCTTAAACTACCAGTTGTTTTACTTTAGGATAAAAATGTACTTTCCCTTTTTCTTTATCATTTTGACTACATATGATTCTCACACAAAAAAAATTCTCTTCTTTTTTTAACTGCCTTACCAAAAATATAACTTCATACCTACAACCTTTTTCACTTTTCTTTCTCATACTTACGTGTTCCTTTCGGTTTTGTTTCTATTTCCTTTCTAAAGGCATATTTTGAAAAAAAAATCTTTAGCATCTGCATTACACAAAATTATTTCTTCTTTCATAATAAAAAATGAACCTTACTTTTCTGGTACACTTTGTATATAGAATTACATATATTAATTAGAATTTTTAATTCTCTGTACCCTTAATTTCTAGTGAAAACCTAGATGGTAATCAATTTAAATCTTTTATATATTAAGAGCATATTTTATAATTTTTAGAAACATGTGTTTTCTCATAATTTTTTTTTTTTTTTTTGAGACAGAGTTTTGCTGCATCACCTAGGCTGGAGTGCAGTGGTGCAATCTTGACTCACTGCAACCTCCGACTCCTAGATTCAAGCAGTTCACCTGCCTCAGCATCCCTAGTAGCTGGGAATACAGGCTCATGCCACTAAACCTAGCTAATTTTTGTATTTTTAGTAGAGACAGGGTTTCACCATGTTGGCCAGTCTCAAACTGCTGACCTCAGGTGATCCACCCACCTCGGTCTCCCTCATGTAATTATTTTTAATGTGGGATAGGACATATTTACTAAGAAGCCCAAATATATGTTATCATTCTATAATAATTATGAATCCAAAAGGAAATAAACTTTTGTTTTCAAGACCTAATGATTTAGTATTTTGACTTATTTGGAAATAACCCAAAATTTAATGAATATTATTACTCAATTTAACTTAACATAATTTTAATATTATAAATTGCATTAGAAGTTCATTTATAAATGTTTATCCTGTTTGCATTTACCTAACTTATTTATTTTAATAATTATATCTAAATTACTTATGAAAACTGAGATATTAGACAGAGGTCATGATTATTTCAAACTATTTCCTTGTTAACCATTTTTCATAGCCTATAAATATCAGGCATTTTATGCCCAAGTAAGAATCTTAAATTTAAATATATGAGTATTTCACTGAAAACTCTGAAGACACAGCTGTTTTCATAAAATCAACAGTATTAAACTAATCTTTTTCAAAGTTACACAGATTATTCTGCTTAAGGCTATACTTATAGTTTTAGATACTTATAGTTTAGATACTTATAAGTATCTAAAACTATAAGTATCTAAAACTATAGTTGTAGATACTTATAGTTTTATAAACTTTGTGGCACTTACAGTTTTATAAACTTTTCACTGACACCTTAAAACATCTAGTAAAGACAAATATAATTTTCTCTGACCAGTAAACCCAGGCAAAAATGTATGCTTGCAATTCTGGCAGCATTTCTATTTTTTAATCAATAAATTTAAAGATCAGCTTATTTGTCAAAGATTTAATTAAGTCCCATGAACTAAAAAATATTTGGGCCTTACTCCATACTTAACAATTTATATGTGTACTCACTTATTTAAACCAATTTGAATAGAATTCCTTAAGGAATTTCTGGCCAACTACACCAGATTCCATTATATAGACATGACATACAACATAATACATGTACATATGTGTAAACACAACTGTGTATATATATATATACACACATACACACACACCTACAGACATATATACATACATACATATATATACACACACATATATACACAAAGATCTTATAGCATTCATGTTGAAATTTAGGTCACAAGACAGTAAAACATAGTTAATATAAACTTATCAGTTTATCTCCATATGGTATTTTTAACCAAATTTTGTTTCTAACAAAATTAGACAAGTTAAGAATATCTTGTTTACTGGCTAAGATTTAAGACTGTTACGTGTTCTGATAGGCAATCTTATGAAGGCTGTGGACCAAACTTTGGGCAAAGAAGTTTCCATAGCAGTTTGATTTTATAAAACCTCTTTCATCTTTGTTTTTCTTTATTCAGTTTCAAATGACTATAAAAGTTAAATATTCAAATATTTACATTTTAGGAAGGATTGGCTAAATTCTATAAGAAAAACAAAATCTCTAAGTGGCATTAAATTTTAGTAACAAATATATCTTTTTCTTTACCAGTCCGGTTCACTTGACTTGTCAATGTTGGTAGAAAAACATTTTAGAAAAAATTATTTGCCATTGTTTTGGTTTTTTAGCTTTTTCTGGTCCATGTGTGTTAGACAAAGTATTTTTTTATGCTGAAGAAGATACTTTATATTATTGCTCTGAGCTCCAGAGTTTGACCTGTTTAATCTTAAAGAACATCTTCTCTAAGCTTTATCTAGTTCTTTTTTCTTAGACCATCAATCCTCTGATTAACTGTTTTATCATCCTAAACAATGATAAGCCAGGCAAACCTAAATTTACAATAAAAGGGATGACACTTAGCTGTCTAGGTTGTTGGTTGTCATAGAGCTACTGCAATTTGTAAAGCCCTTTTTTAAATTTGGAAGCCCTTTAAGATTTTTTCTTTCTTTCTTGGTTAGAAGACCATGAACAGAGAGTTTACCAACAGAAAAATCAGCAGATTCAAAAAAAAAAAAAAAAAAAAAGAGAGAGAGAGTCTAAAGACCTCTACATGTCCAAGGTAAGCTCACTTCAGTCCCACTTTTTGACAATGGGAAGCCAGGAATGTCGCCTGCGGAGCTTTCCCTTAAAAACCTAAAATCTCTTAAAATAAGTAAATAAGAGTCCAGTTGCTTGAAAACATTTTTTATTTGGATAAATTAATGTATTTGCTGAGGTTCTTGCACCAGACTTATCCTAAGCACTAGCCCATATGGGGTGAAAAATCCTTCTAAGAAAAAATAAATATATTTGTATAGCAAGAAGAAAAGATTGAGAAAAACAGAAGAGATGTGAAAATTAAAGACACTTTCCCTTTCACAGAGCGTTTCTCCTTACTCTGCTATCCCTGTTCCCTCTGCCTCCTCTGCATTTCTTCATCACTCTCAGACTCAAACTGACTCTAGGGAAGGGAAGGTGGGGATAATAACTTTTTAACAGAGTGGTCCCCTTTAATGACGAGTTTCCCAGGAAAGGGAATGAGGGCACACAACTTTTATAGATGGTAATGAATTACCTGCCCTATTTGAGAACATAGGTTTGTGTGCATCGTAGTCTAGTCTTGAATCCAACTCACATCTTAGCGCAGATTCCATCTCCAATAGTCCGTTTCATCAACACACCATGTAGCTAAGAATGCAGACATGATAAAGAGCTATGATCCAAGAAAAGGAAGAAATTGGATTGCACCCCATATGGAAGCAACTGGATGGAGAGTAGCTGCACGAGTCACTTGGGAAAAGGCAAACAATATATTAAACAGATGAAAGTTAACATGGGAAGGGAAGCCAAAGCATCATATAATTTACTTAATTTTTTTTTAATCTTAAAGTGAAGAGAAACTTGCCCTTTTTACTTGTATTGCCAGCAAAGCTGATGCAGTGAGAAACCTTCTAGTTCTCCTGAGTAATTCAAATGCCTTTCTTGCCGCCTGATATTATTCATTTAATGTCTTCTATTCCTGTTCCACTCAAGCTTGCAAAAAATACAGCATGTTTAAGTTTACAGCATCACACCTAGAAGTGTGCCCTGGCTACTATGTAGAATTCTTCAACTAGTAGCTGCATGCAATTCTGACACCCATAGACATTTCTCCTTTGATAGAGCAAGCACATTGGAGTCCAGCAGATTATTATATCAAAGGGTATGACATCAAGAGGTGGTGGCTAACGGAAACCGACTATACCTGCTACCCCACAAACATGGAAGGTCCAAGAGCATTAGAAACCAGTCAAGAGGGATTGCTAACGGCACTTCTTGCAGCCTTTCCCCTTTTTTAAAAATGAGCTGAGAAAAGTTTCAGCTGGTATAACTCTTCTCAAAAATCTAGTGATTTGGGGAAGGAAAATATTATTAGCACCGCATAGACTTTAAAACAGCTTAACCTTAAGGGGAAAATACTGTAATGTTTTTCTAAAAGGTAGAAAAAATAATTACAATTCATTGTGTCTTTTCCAATATCTGATTGCAGGGAGAGCAGAAATTAATATTGTCATTTATTATCCAGTCACAATTTCAACAGTTTGAGAGGAAGAATATGTCTACTAATTATGTTTTGTACAATGTGTGAACATATACCCAGTAACTACTTTTGAAAAATGAACTTCTGGTCAGAATCTAATTTACAATGCCAAATAAGCACATGATAGTTATACAACTCTTTGGTTCCTTTAAGCACTATTGTGTTTAATATTCTAATCATTATTTAATGAAGCCATATAATATGTGCATTCCACTGTGTATAATATATAATGTATAATATTTAACAAAAAGCCATACTATCTGGCAATTCAGCCACATGTCATGACAGTATCCACATGGAAAAAGTTCTGACTTACATTCCAATATAAAAATATAAAATCATATAAATTAATAAAAATAAATTTAACACCTGAGGATTATAAAACCAAATATACAGCATCTGCTGTTTAAGTTCCATTTTATTATAATATTTGTTTAAGCAAAAAGAAAACAATTGTTTAATATTTCAATATTATTTGGATTATGAATTTTTGAAATATAATATTAAGCAAAGTCATGGAATTTTGAGTGCAATGAATCCTACTTTTTCTTATTGTAAAAATGTTTTATTTTCCATTGTGATACTCTTGGGAGTCAGAGAGGCCGCAGCTAATAATTATACTGGGGTGAAAGGAACAGACTAAGATGGTTTCAGGCAATTCAGTACGTATGTTTGTTCTGTTTGGTTTAACAACTTTTCATCAATTAAAAATAACATGGGGAATATTAATTACTATTTATTACTTGGAGAAAATAAATCGGGTAAAATAAAAAAGACCAAGTAAAAATGTATCAGTCATGTTTAATACCCAGATATTCTCATTGACAAAATTCAAGCATGTTTCAAATAATACATTCAGAAGTGATTTTATTTTAGACAATGTAATTGGACTTCCTATTTTTTTTAATATGGTGGACTGCTGTGGTTCAGTCAATATTTCATTAAATTTTAGTCTCATTAAATTTACATGGCCAATAGGTCAGATTGATGAAATGTTTTCTATGCAAAAATCTTCACTCAGTGTTGTTTTGTTTTGTTTTAACTTGAGAGAATCCAATGGCTGATTGAGGATTTAATTGGTGAATTTACACAAGGTTAAAAACTTCATGGTATCTTCACATCAACTCTTCACCATTGGAAGGCAGACGAATTCTAAAACAATTTCAGATCTAATTTTTTCCATACCATGGAATAGTATCAAACAGCTATCAAATATTTCTTGTGTGGGGGAAAGTAAAGGACCCTTGTTTAGAGAACTCATATAAATGAAGCCAGATCTCAGAAGCACAACCTGGAGTCATTAACTTGTATTGGAAATTGGTAAGAGATAAACATTTTATAGTATTAAGCAACTGCAATAGTGGGACTGTTTATTACAGCACCTAGAGAGTGCTACCCTACTTAATAAAAGAATATGGGTTTTACGTGACTTGAAACACTATATTTTTATACATCATTAGCTATTTTATATCAACAGTACTTTCTTTAAAAAGTTCCAGATTTTTATTATATTAAAAATAATAACATGCTCCATGGATTAGGATATGTTTATTTTTTATTTGTGCTTTACTTTCATTGCATTCTACTCCTGTTCTTCTTTTCATTATTACACCTTACAATTTACCAGAAATTTGATCTGCACTGTTACCAACAGAAGCTTCATGTCTCACCTCACTGGATTCCTATTCTTGCTGTGCATGGCTGCCCTTAATACATGAAGTAAATATGCAGCAGTTGTATTGCGAGGTGTCTGCCTATAACCATAAACATAGCACTGCTTTATAATTGGCATTTCTTTCTTGCCTTGGAAATAATTATTTCGATTAGTTAGGGTAGGGGTTTTGTTGAAGTTTTCACTGATACTAACAAAGCTGTCAGCCACACTGAAGAAAATACAAAGCAAGCTAGAAAACACACAGATTTAAAGGCTTTTGTGAGTAGCTTATGTCTCAGAGGAAAATCTCCAAGAACTCGGAGTAAAGAAATATTAGACTGTTTGTTCTAAATAAAAGACTTATCCTAAAAAGTGGGAAGCAAAAAAGGAAGAGGTGGAAGAAATTCGTGAAACCAAAATGTGATGTCCAGAAACTGCTTTTTGTGAACAATGACATCTTCTGTGGCTCCTGAGGTTAGTTCCCAAGAAAAGTAAGGAAAAGGGAGTGCACACCACATTGAAAAGTAATTCCTGCTAGCTGAAACTAGATTTCTTGAACTGAAAGAAGTGAAATACTTAATAAAGACAGAAAAATCTAGTTTTCCCAAGATTTTGAAATGTATTTAGATGTTAAATGATCATAATTACGCTATCATGAATACATTATCTACCTACACATTCCCTTATATATTACACTTTAAAGTTTACTCGTACCAGTTTTTACAGTACATGGAACCAGAGGAAATAGGAATAATTTAACAAATTTAGTGGAAAATTAAAGGTCTTTTTTAAACTTTTTTTTATTACATAGATTGATAGTAATTGTTGTGTCTTCATATATCCTCCAGGTCAAAATTCTTTTTCCAAGATGAGTTTTCTCATAAACACAGACATAATGCATCTGCCAAGTGCCCTTTTACCTTCCTTACCATTTTCAGTGGCAGTACTCTTGGTCTTTCAGTAACCTTCACGTGGTTTGCAACATGACACTCATTCACAAAAATACAACTTCCCTGGCAAAGACATTTATCTGTAAAATGTTGCCCCTTTTTTCATTATATTTTTGTTCTCAGTTCAACTCTCAGTTACTTGACAAAGAGATTTATGTGATATTTAGTAAGAAAGATTTTTTATGATAGGAAGGCATGCAAAATATTAGTGCACTTGTATGAATAAGCCAGAGCTTAGTGAAAATACATGGGAGGGCTGATAGCCATGATGTCTTCAAACACTGTGGCAAAGCAACAGCTGTGACATTTTAGATAAAATTCCTCAAAAATACGTTATATAGAACATTTAGTACACACAAATACACACATGCACCTCTTTACAAAATCAAAGAGAGTAATAGTGGACCTTAGAACTGGATGAGAAAATTATAATTTCTCTAGAATTGGAATCATATGATCTATATTCATATTTTAATAGACTGTTTTGCTAACTATAAGGTTTTATGACATCAGGAGAAATATATGAAGAAGGTCAGCATTTTTGGAAATGCATCTATTTTCTTACCATATGCTGGAAATTTCATAATGCTACTATAATGCCGAAAACATCGCTTTTCCTTTACGGCTTTTCTTATTTCCGTCTGTCAAACGGGGATTCTCTGGGGCCAGCTGGAGAAAGTTACTTCGAAGGGATTGTTGCTTATAAACTTCAGGTTATGTTGTATTCTTTGAAATGAAGCTCCTTAATTATAGTATAATTATTTTTTATTCATTCAAATGTGTTAAAGCATAATGTCTTTATTACAACAAACATCTTAATTAATTTAAATATGACTTTGTTGAAGAATAGCCAATTAATCTACTCATTAAAAAATCTATTTTAGCAAAAATCTGAGTCAAAATAACACATATAGTTGTTAATTCATTGTATGCCTGGCTCTAAAAATCTACTTCTACTTATGAATGTAAACACAATGAGGAATAGTTGACATTTTTGACTATCAAAGTAGCACTTTAAAATTTCTTCTGATTTGACATTATAACCTTGCATATATCGAAGAACAAAGTTTAATTAATGAAAATTCATCATTAACCTTGAAGAGACATTTGTGAACATGTTATTAGGAAACAACTATCAGCTGTTGTCATGTGAATATCTTGTCTTATTTTCATATATTATAGAATAAAAGGAATATTTGTAACATTTTATCCCAATTGTTTGTTTGACAGCTTGTATACTTGTACCACCTGCTCACTAGCTCTTCATCACAGATCTCATACACTCATTTATAATTGCTTAGGAGAAATCAAAATTTGTCTTTAAAAGCCAAATTAAACTACATTTAAAGTGAAAGTTATTTACTTACCCATGAATTTATTTGTATGTTTGTTTCTACTTCTAATTTTGTCATATCAATATATTGTTTCTAGCTCAGATACTGAGAAATGATTATAAAAACTCTGATATCACATGGCATGTGCAATATACAGAGCATGGAACTCAAAAGTTAGAATTCCTGTGGTCAGCCTGGGTCAAGATTATATGAAAGATGGTAGATGATGGCTTATTGATAGTGTGTTCACTAAGAAAGATAATTTGTCACTGTTAGCTGCCTTTTGCAAGTTATAAATCCAATTTCCACTGTATTTTCTCTCTGTTGTAAAGTATTTATTATTGTATAATCTATTTTTATAATTGCTGTTTTTTCCTTTTCATCATTTTATCTTACATTTATAGCTGTAACCTCTGGATTATATCATTTTCATGACTTGTATCAGACCATTTTGAGGTGATTTGAGTGGCTGTGTTTGTACTGTGACCATCAGCTGCCTTCAGTGGATTAATCCAAGTTAATCCAGTCACAATCTTTTCTTCAGTATTTCAGGATTGGGACTAAATTACTCTATTTACCTCAATTTGAATGGTGAAAAAAGGTGCAATCTGAGCTTGGCTATATGAAAGCAAATAGATAGAGCCAGTCTATAGAGGTTGGTAAGCAAAATTGAAGTCACAAAGAAAAAGAAGCATGACAGAAAGCATAATGTCTGAGTTCTCGATATTGCTCTTATTTCTAGTTCCAGTTTTCCACAGTCCTGTTGCGTTCCTGCCCTGGAACTGCCATGGGATACTTTGTAGGTATCCTTACCAAAAAGTCTCATTTTAAAAAGCCATCCCAAGTGATTTTCTCTTACTTACACCTAAATTTTCCGCTAATGCAAGTCTTACCAATGATATTCATTCTTAAAATATATAATTGATAAACCTCACAGCCTCAGATTGTTACAGGATCACTGGGGTGTAATTTTTCTGGCTGGAGACCTCTGTGACTATGGTGCCTTAGCCCAAGTTTTTTGGTCCAGGAAGTATGAGGTACACAGACAAGTGAAAGTTGAAAAAGAAGTTTTATTTAGTATTAGAACAGCTCAGAGGAGTGGGTAGTTCCTCTCTGTAGGCAGGTTGTCCTGTGGAGTGTTCAGCTTTCTGCAGAAAGGAGGCCCTGGAGAGGGTAGCTCTTCTCTGTAGCAGGTTATTGGGACATTTCTGCAGGTCTCTGAAGCTCTCAGTGGAGAGGGTAGCTCCTTTCTGCTCCCTGGTCTCAGCATCTCTCAGCAGAGAGGGTACTCCTCTCTGCAGCTGGTCCTCCCATCATCTCCAGCTATCAACAGAGAGGGTACTCCTCTCAGCAGCTGGTCTTCCAGTCCCATCACGTCTCTGCCCTCTTTGTTCTCTGGCCATCCTCTGCCCTGCTCTGGCTGAGTCCAGGGCTTTTATGGTCCTCAAAGGGGAGGAGGCACCTGCTGATTGGCTCATGGGTGGCCCTGGGTGGGCAAGAAGAGGCATCATGAGTTCCCATTCTAGTCAGGTGTGAGTGGCAGCCTGAATCCCAGCCTTCAGGCCCTCCCTGGTCTGAAGATGGGGCCTTACTGGGAATTCATCCCCTTCCACCTAGGAATTAATCTGCTTGCCCACTGTTATTCATAGCCCCAGGGCTGAAGCCAGTACCAGGAGCAGAGAGAGGCTAGGCGGCAGAAGCAGACACCCCCAAGCAGGCAAGGATGAAGATCTGGGTGGTGGCTGGGGTTGTCCTTTCTGGGGGCCCCCAAAGGTCCAGGCTGCAGAGATGTCCAGGTCCTGCATCTGGGAGGACAGCCACAGCTGCACCCGCGGAGCCCCTGCCCTGCCAACTTGGAATGGGTTCCTGCTTGTCCGTAGCTCTTGCTTGCTCTATGGAGTGGGAGGCACAGATTTCCAGCCGTGGGTTGTGTGGTTGCAGCTACAACCATTTTGGTGGATCCTGCCTGCTCCTGGTCCCCTCCAAGAGCACAGGGAGTCTCAGATCCGCAGCCTCCATTTGGGCAGCTATAGCCCTGCCCAGCATGGTTAGGGCTCCCACCAACACCATGGAGTCACTGCCCCAGCCATGCCTCTCTACTGTAGCCAGCATGATGGCAGCAGCCACTGCCATCAAGACTGGATTAAAATCCCAGTTAATATTTAGCTCATGTTCTGTATCTCTTATGTCCCTTGTCTTTTAAACAAGCATTCTTAGGACATGGCCATCATCATATGTCTTTCCTACTTTATCTCTTACTCTTCAGTCCTTGGGCCTCAATCTCTATAATCATAATTAATAAATATTGAAAATATTGCATTACTGCAGGCTTCCATATACACTTCAACTTCTTTATTAAAGCTTGTTTTATAGTGCAGCATATGGCCTTTGAATGTCCCATGGGTGTTTTTTGATTGTGATGTTTAATAAAGTATTGGTTAGGTCTACTTGATTTTTAGTGTTGTTCATGTCTTATATTTCCTTGTGGATCTTCTTTATAGTTGTTCTATCCATTGTTAAAAGTGGGGTATTCAAAGCCCCAATTTTTATTGTTGAGTTGTCTCTTTTTTCATTCAATTCTGTCTGTTTTTCCTTCATGTATTTTGGGGTTCTGTTGTTAGGTTTATATATAATTGTTATACCTCTCTGATGGATTGATCATTTTATCATTATAAAATATCCCTCTTGATGTCTTATAATAGTTTACTATTTTTGTTTTGAACTTTTTCATTTGACACAAATGTAGCTTGTTCGGCTTTCTTATGTTGCTGTTTGCATGATATAACTTGTTACATCCTTTTAGTTTTAACCTGTTTGCATTGTTGAATTTAAAGTGTATCTCCTGTATACAACATTTAATTGGATTTAAGAAAAAAAAACAACTCTGATGACCAGTGATTTTTGTTTTGATTGTTTAATCATTTCCCATTAAATGTTATTATTGATACAGTTCAATTTACATCTGTCATCTTACTTTTGTTTTCTTTATGTTGAATGGGTATTTTTCTTGATGTTTTCCTATTTCTGCTTTAATGCCTTCTCTTCCATCAAGTGAGTATTTTATAGTGCAATTATTTATTTCCTTTCTTGATTATTTTACAATATATTTTTGAGCATTTCCTTAATGACTGATCTAGGGCTTCCTATATCCATCTTAACTGACAGAGTCTAGTTTAGATTTATACTAATTTAATTTCACTTAAAAATAGAAACATTACATTTTAGTAGCCCTATTTCTCTTCTCCTTTGCATGTTAATTTTGTTATATTTATTATAGCTATATATGTTATAATCGAATAATACATTGTTACATTTATTACTTCATATAATAATATATATGTTAAAGAATCTGAGAGAAAAATTAACAAATATATATTTATTGCTTTTGTTATATAAACCTTATTATTTCCCATTTCTGATTTTCTTTATTTGGTCTTGTGACATTAGTTACAGTCTGGTATTATTTCTATATTCCAATACCATTTTGTTTGTTATCATAATGTGTATTATGTTCCTACATGTTATATGCTCAGTGATGCTCTTGTTGACATATTATCTGCCTTATAAATCAGTTAGGAGAAAAAAAAAGAGAAATATTTATTGTTTTTTATATTTACGTAATCATCTTTAACGGTGCTCTTCATTGTTTCAGGTGGATTTAAAGTATCATCTTGAATCACTTGCCGCTACCGTCCTAAAGAACTTTTAAAAATATTGTTTGATAGGTGGATCTGCTAGCAATTAATACTATCAGCTTTTGTTTATCTTGGATTGTCTTTTTATTTATTTTATCCTGGAATGTCATTTATTTTGCCTTTATTTTTGAAAGTTAGTTTTGGGGCTATGAGTTTCTTAATAAGTAATTTTGTTCTTTCAGTACTTTGAATATGAAATTCTACTCTCTACTGTTTATGATAAGGTGTCAGATAATAATCTTATTGTAATTCCATTGTACTTGACAGGTCATTTTTTCTTGCTGTCTTCAAAATTTCCTTTTGTTTTTCACTTTCAGCATTTTGCTATAATGTGTAAAGTCACTTTTTTGTATGTGCACAGAAACCTTTGTTTTTCCATCCTTAATCCTCCTACCACAGTCTGGATTGTGACTCATGAGGCTGAACCTCTATGTTGTTGCAAATCCATTACTGGTAACTTAGTGCCCTGCCGTGTACCCTCTGATTACACCCCCTTTCCTGCTAAAATAATCATTTTCTTTATTTTATGTTCTCACTTTCTTGTTGTTGGTTTTTTGGCTCCTATATAACTATTCTTAAGCAGTGTTTTGCTTTTGATACTTTATTTTGAACGTTAAAGAAATACAGTCACACTCTGTGAATTCCTCTGTGGCTTCTACTTAATTAAACATTTTGGTTTGTAGATATATTCACGTAAAAATGTGTGGTTTTCAATTCATTATCCACTGTGTATACTAATCTATTGTTTGACTTTACTATGCTTATTAATTGTACAATTGATAGAGACATTTTCAAAGTTTCATATTATTCTTTTAGGAGAAGTTGCTTTAAATAATCTTGTACTGTTTCCAGCTCCTGTGCTCAAGATTTGCTCAAAGGGTTATTATATTCATGGGTACAGTTGCTGAGATATAAGATATATAATACTTGTGTTGAACTTCGCTAGTCGTCTTAGCCAGGATCCTTTAGAAACCAAAGCCTAAGGCGATGATTACAATATTAACATTCTAGGTAATATCTGCAAACCCCAGGCAGTTATGATAAAGGCAAAAGATAGTGAGGTAAACCGTGATTGCAGGTAATACCCACTCTGTTGTCTACTGGTTCAAAAATGTGGCAGAAATTCATAGCAGATGTCTCAGTGAGCATGTTCTTTGTAAATTCTGTACGAGTTTAAAAGAGAACTACATCTTAGAGTGTATGTGGTAATCCTCTCACCGAGAATATATAAAAGATTCTGCTACTTCACAACATCACCAGTTTTTTAAAATCCACTTTATTTTTTCTAGTCTAGTGAATATAATATAATTTCTCAATATTATTTAATACATTTCAGTAATTAGGATGGTCCACTTGCCTGTACCATAAAATACTTATCATATCTCTTCTCATTATTTGTGGATTTTTAACCTTTTTTTCCGTTGACATAATGAAATATTTATTTTAGTTCTCTAAAACTTTTTCAGTGTATTCATTACAAAAATCTTTTTATACATGACTTGACTTTCACTTCGTAAAATTCTTTATTAGGAAAATGCAGTTTGCAATAATGACCTTGGCTTTTTTTCTATGAATAAAAAATTTGATTTTCATGCAATTCAAAGTTAAGGGATTTTCTTTTCATTTTTTTTGAGACAGGGTTTCGCTCTGTCACCCAGGATGGAGTGCAGTGGCAAGATCACAGCTCACTGCCTCGACCTTGTGGCCCCAAGGGATTCTTTTGCCTCAGCCTCTGAAGTGCTGGGATTACAGGGCGTACCACTGTGCCTGGCTTAAGTCAGTATCAAAAATATTTTCTTTATGGATATGTAGAGGATTGCCACTAGTTTAATACAGGTCGTTTAAATACAGGATTCCTTTTTTTTTTTGAGACAGAGTCTTGCTCTTTTGCCCAGGTTGGAGTTCAGTGGAGCGACCTCAGCTCACTGCAACCTCCACCTCCTGGATTCAAGCGATTCTCCTGCCTCAACCTCCTGGAGTACTTGGGATTACAGGTACCCACCACCACACCCAGCTAATTTTTGTATTTTTACTAGAGTTGGGGTTTTACCATGTTGACCAGGCTGGTCTCAAACTCCTGACCTCAGGTGATCCGCCCGCCTTGGCCTCCCAAAATGTTGGGATTACAGGCGTGAGCCACCGCACCCAGCCACAATTCCCATTTTTATAAAGAAACTATGCAGTTTACCCTTGAACTGCATGGGGACTGGGGGTTCCAACACTCTGTGCATTTGAAAATCATGTATCATTTTTGACTGTCAAAAATTACTAATAGCCTTCTGTTGACCAGCAGCCTTACTGATAACATAAGCAGTAATTTAACACTTATTTTGTATATTATATGTAATTATAAATATATTACATTCTTAGAATAAGTAAGGTAGAAAAATTGTTATTAAGAAACTCATAAGAAAGAAAATATATTTACTACTCATTAAATGGAAGTGGATCATCATAAAGGTCTTCATTTCCATCTTCATGTTGAGGACGTTGAGGAGGAAGAGAAGAGTTTGGTCTTGCTATCTCAGGGTTAGCAGAGGCTGAAGAAATTTTGCATGTAAATGAACCTGTGCAATTCAAACTCATGTTGTTCAAGGGTCACCTGCGTGTTTGTGTGTGTATATGTACATATATATGTAATCGGTTTTCTTTATGATATTAGTAATCATATTTAAAATATATTTTATCAAGACAAGTAGAGAAAAATATCTCTCAGAGTTTGTTATAATTTTACATTGTCATTTAATGGATAAGTTCATTGTTTTTGATATTAAACTGAATGATATTTAACTTAATTGGAAGTCTTTACACCTTCAACTTGAGATAATTAACAGTCCAGTCACAGTTTCTGAGGATAAAGTAGCTTGTCTAAGGTGGGGGATAAATCACCTCACAAGGCAAAATCTTCATTATATCTGCACCAGAGTTAACAGTCTTTCAAATTATGGCTGGCATTTCAGGACTGCTTCATGCTCCAACCTCCTTTATATATTGGATAATTATATCTGAATACTATGCTATATTCATATGACATTAATATTTATCAGATTTTCTAAACCAAATAAAATTTAGTGCTTGAATAGAAAAAAATAATTTATCCACTATGTAAAACAAATGACTCATACAGAGCTACTAAGTGGCTGTATTCTTGATATAAAAATGATTCTATAATTAACACCAGCAGTTAGGTAAACAAAAGTTTATTTACCTGATATAATTCTGTATAGAATTCTCATTGTGAAAATCTTCTATTTTTAAAAATAATTCTATTTACTGGAACTTTTAGAAAGCCTTGATACGGTAAATGAACTTACTTCAAATGTCTAAATGCTCAGTTCATAAGAAACAAGAGCTACTACATGATTAGCAGAAATATAAAAAGTCCTGAAAATAATGATGAAAATTACATTTTATACAATTTTGACTTTAAGTAAAAAAAGGAGTAGAGACAAACTGACACATTTCAAACTTCAAGATTTAAAAATACACAGTGATCAAGAAACAAAAACCCACTGTATGATTAATTAATATAAATATGAAGACTATTAATTGCATTTTAACATCTATCCAAGTTTTCTACTTACTGGTATATGATTGATTTGATGATATTGAGGAACCATCCTAAAAGAAAAAGAATTAAATATACCTATAGGTATCTATATACCTATCTATATGTATGTGTATCTTTTTTATATACACGATTATATCTTGCAAGCTTCCAAAAATTCCATCATGTTTCACAAAACATACTTGTTTTGTGAAAAATATATAGACATATAATAAAATGATTATATAATGGCCTTCCTATTAACTATTGACCAATGTATTACAACACATAATTGGGCATGAAAATCATCAAAAGGAATCCAGGAATTCATCCTTTTTAATTTTTACTATTATTTCCCTATATTTCCCTAACTATTGCACTTGATTAGTTTTATTTCAATAGCAGTATTTTAAGAGAAGGGATACTTCTATTCTAGAACTGGACTGCACAATATGAGAGTCCTTAACCACATGTAACTATTTTTCTTTAAATTAAATATAAATAAATATAATTTTAAACTTGCATTCTCATCCACAATAGCCACATTTCAACTGCTTAATAGCTACATGTGGCCATGGTTACTATAATGGATGGAGAATATACAGATCTTTCCATTATTGCAGAAAATGCTGTTGGATACCATTACTTTAAAAGTAAAAAATTACAGTGGTAAAAGTTAAACTGGTTATGAAAGTGTCAGAAAAATGACAATGTAAGAAGGCAGTATATTTAAGTGATTGAGAAACCAGACTTTAAAGTAGGATATATAAGTTTTATTCTTGTTGCAGCACTTGCTAAATGCAGACCATTAGGAAAATCACTTGATTCCTCTAAGCATTAATTTATTCACTGAGAAAATGAGCCTCAAATTATCTTTAGCAAGCTACTGAAAGGGTTAATTAAAATAATGTATGCAGAGTGCTTAGTGAATTGTTAAGTCACTAGTGGACACTCAATAAAGAGTTCTTACTATTTATTAATATAATTTATTAAAATTTATTCACAATATCACAAGACATATGATATGGCAGGAGTAGAGATGCTTCTATAAGTCAGTTAAGTCATAACCAAGACACAGTCATCATAGAATCCTCATAAGAAGTAGTTCTATATTGCAATATACATCAAAATATTTGTTTAAAAATTTCTGCATTTGCATTAATGAAATTATTTCTAATTTGTAAGCTTTTCATTTTAAATTTGTAGTAATATTTAAAATATAAATTAAGAGAAAGCATATAGATATATTCACTTATTTAACTATAGTGAGTTAAAGACAAAGCAAAATTTTGTTGATTCATAGCCTGATTTCAGAGATGAGATTGGAATAAATAAGTTTTGTTCTGAAATGGACAGCCTACTCTACTAAACTTACAACTAGAAAGAAAAGATATTTGAGTCACTCTTTCTATCTTCTCTCTCCTTGCATATCTTCCTGCACTTCTTTTCCTTTCTCCTGGAGATGTTCTAACTTTATTAATATCTCTTTAAATGTAGTACACTCACTTGGCCATGATTTGCCAAATAAAATGTTCATAGAATAAAATGAAAAAAAATTATTTTCTTAACCTGGTTATAATATGGAGACAAACTACAATTAGTACTATTTATTGAATATTTAATATGTGATAGGCTCTTTGGCAACTTAGCTGACCATTTGATCAAATTAAGCACAACTGTGATGGGGTTGGAAATAAAATCTTGAATGCTTTAATAACAAGCACATTGTTGACCATAGGTAAGAAGTTCTTATGCTCTTTCATGTATGTCAGGGACCCAGAATATTGTAGCCATGTCTTCAACACACACACATTTTTAAATGAAAGTAATGTGTATATTGTATAGACAATAGAAAGTAAACAGTGAATCTTCATGCTGCTTCCAGTTCTCTGTCCCTTCACCTCTGGATTAATAACTATGATATCCAGCATTTCTTGTTATCTATCCAGCATAAAAATTGTGTTTGTATATATCTGATTTCTTACAGTTTGCCTATGTCTTCTACATTTACAAAGTATTAATAGTTAAGACATTATCTAATTAAATTTATCAAAGGATTCCAAAGCTGTATTTAGAGTAATATATATTGCATTAATATTTTTATTATAAAACAAAAATAATAAAATTGTATCAATTTGATTATTTAATATAACTACAAAATGAACAATGATTTAGACCTAAGGAAAATATAAAGTAAGAAGTTTTAAAAGTCTTTATAAATATACATTTTAAAATTTATATTTATACATTTTAAATGTATAAATATAAATCAATATTAGATTTATATTTGATCTAATATTGATTACAGTCCCTAGAGGATTTAAAGTATCTATGTAAATACAATTTTTAAAATCCAAATAAAAACAGTTTATAATTAGAGGAAATTGACAAACACTAATAGAGCAGAGATATTTTTAAGTTAAATATACACACATATACTCATGTTACTATATACTAAATATTTTGAAATCTTTGATATAAAATGTCTAGGTAAACAACTAACATTTATTTAAGAAGCCACAGAAAGGCTGACATGATTGAATATCAAGAATAAGTGTGTTTTTATAAGGAAATTTTATTTTTATTTTAACTTTTACCTTTTTCAGTGTAAGTCTAAAATTATTTTTACCAGCTAAAAATTTTAATATATCTTTAAAGACCACAAATTTCAATGCTAGTGTTTTAAAACATGTCTAAAGCATAGAAAAAAATGACAGACTTATAATTCATAAATGTATTTTAAAGATACTATTTAGAGTAAAAATATTTAAATGTAACATCAAATAGATAAAATAAAGGTAGAAATAAAAATTTCAAATAAAGTATTTGCAAATATAAACTTACAGATATATAACATATAAATATATCAAAATAGATCTTTAAAATATATGACATATATCAAGATAAATATATCAAATAAGGTTTATTTGTAGAATTCCAAAGTCACTTAGTACTAACAAGAATTTTAAAAATTTTATTTAAAAAAGGAAAAATTATGATTAACATGATAAATACTAAATATCCATATAATTTGAAAATTTCTTTTCAGTGAAAATAATGAACCACGTAATTGTACCTCATGATCAATGGTTTCAGATATCTTCATTCTAAGAATTAAAACCACTTGAATTAACATGATGTAGTTATTGAGATTGAGAACTGGAACATGTCAGCATGACTTGACTATTTGTTCCATGAAAGTATTGTCCAGAATATTAAGAATGCAAACTAATCAATAATATCATTATCCATTTCAGGAACATCTTGCAAACATGTTTATCCACATACACCATTTACTCTTCCCGGCAAAAGCTTTCTTATGAAAACAGTGGATTGTTCACATAAACCTTTCTCTTGTTAAAACTTGCTAGAAGATGCTCATTTCCCTGGTCCACCAATCTTCACCTATAATTGTGATTTCTTTTTTTAGTCCCTATCAGGTTCTTACCATGAAAGTCCAACTTTAGAACACCTTGGAGTTAGGAGCCCCAAATCCTACCTTCCACTATTTTCTCTTTGTTAAAGTCATTAAAAAATCTGTTAAGATAACCTGGGGTTTTTTTTGGCATTAATGTTTTGCTTGACCGTAAGTTTTTTTTTGTTTGTTTGTTTATTTTCATGTGTGTGTTTGTGTGTGTGTGTGTTTCTCCTGGTCATCTTTTGGGAAATTGACAATTATTAGATTATTTTACTATGGGCAAAACCCTTTTTAAGGCCCCCTTAAGCTTCCTAAGCAGAGTTCTCTTTGAGCTCACCAATTAATATGTCAAGTTTTGGTTCTGAGATCTGAAATATTTTTGTTAAGCTTCCAAATGCTCACTTTATTTTCGTTTCTTAGAAGACCTTTTTCATAGACATTTTTTTTTTACTCACAAAACATATTTTAAAGCTCAAATTCTTTGTAAAAACTCATTCTAGATTACCACACTACTGTTGGTTTCTGTCTCTTTCCACTGTGTTTGATAAGTTTGTCAGAGGTAATCTGTAAAAAAAGAATACAGACATGGGCTTTACTAGTCTGTACTCAACCTACCACAAAGACTGACAATTCAGATGGTTTTGTAAGACCAGTATCACGGGGACAAATTCTGTCTTCATTAATCTTTTCAACATCCAGTAAGAATTTTCCTCTTTGTGTCCCTTAGGATTTCTGTATTTAGTTTTCATTGACCAGATGTGGGAATCTTGTCAGGCTGCCAGTTGGTGATAATTGATCTTTACTCAGGTTCCAGAAATGTATAGATATTCAAGTACCATTTTTATTGACGATCTTAGGGTTAGCTCTGTCTACACTCATGTGTCCTCTACACCCTGCATATATTTAGACAATAATTCTAATTTTAATTTGTATGACTATCTTTCTAAATGGCATTATTTTATTAACAATTACTTAGAATGGATGAGGCTACTTTTGAAAATACTAGAGAAAACACCTTTGAATGTAATTATAGCAAAATTGCAAATGTACAAACGTATAGATTTTCTAATAGGATGAGTTTACTTCTTACAGAAATTCAGATTTTAAAATTGTGACCTATAAAACAATCCTAGCTAATAGAAATGAAACCTGTGAAAGACTTAAAATTATCTCTCTTAAATTCTCACTAATCGTAATCTGAAACTAGTTGTTTTTATCATGCAATTCCTCTCATGCTTTCCTCTACAAATCTCTTGCCTTATACTATTATTTCTTTTTGTGACCCACTTCTACTCCCTTCTGCTCATCCCTTATCTTCCCAAACTAAATTGCCTGTCAAAGCTAAACCTCTTTCAGAATGCAGTAAGCTCTGTAAAGAGCATGTTAAGCTTGATCTTGGTCTGATGTGATAAGCATTTGTTTTTCCAAAGCTTAGACAAAACAGAAATTTACAGAAGCATTTATAACAAATATAAGGATCCTATATCTACATTATTTGTTTATGTATTTGTAGGATTTCAGACAGAGGAAAAAAGAAATGGTACAGTGGAAAGATGCGAGGATAACTTAAGTGTGCCCAAATTTCACAAGAAACCAAGAGCTTTTACAAAAGCTGAAAATCTTGGTGTTGGACACTATTTTTGGTGACTATCCTCAAAGTCTTTCCTGTGAAAAGACATATATCATTATATCATACTTCAGACGTATGCTCTTAAACACTTTTATACAGAACTCAGGAGTAGACCCTAATGCAGATATGACAACAGACAGCTCTTTTCTTCCATTGATTAATATCCTTGACTCAGAAATAAAAGAGTTGCATCTGCAAGAAAAGTTGAAATGATAAATATTCCATGGCAAATCTCCAACTTTTCTTGATCATTTGAAATAACATTATAACAAAAGCATAAAATGACTAGAACAGTTGTTTTCAGATGTAACAATTAGATGCTCACTGTCTACTCTTTAAGCACCAGGAGAGATACGTACAGTGTCTGAAGACACATATGTAGATATTGTAAGCAGACTATATGTTTTTGAAAAGAGTTGTCCTGTGCTAAGAGACTAAACGAAAGAAATAAGATGGTTTAAAAAAAAAAAGGATGTTCCAAAGTAGGAAAGTGGAACTAAGTATCTGATTTCTCACTTTACTCTTAAAGTCATGAGAAAACATTTCTAAAATGTTACTTTAAACATTTGCTCATCATTTTGGTATTATTACTGCTATATCATTCTTAAAACCATATCTTACAAATTATTGTTGATTATTCATAAACTAGTAATGTGTGTATGTCTTTGAGAAGCTTAGAAAGGCAACAATCTAACCCTGCAACTGTCACCAGTGACTTTTAACCAAGGAAAATATTTCCTCCTTTGTAAGAAAACTACTACTTATTTAAAAGAAGAGATCACCTGGGAAGATGAAATTACTCAGTCAAATGGTCTCTTGTTGATCTCTTACTTGACATCTCTTAGGATTCCCCTAGTCATAATCAGATTAGAAGCTAATTTGAATATTGATTTACTGGTATCATTTTGTCTAAAGAAAACCCAAAGCAAAGTGCTTTAGGATGTGCAGATTCATTATGGAACAAGTATTCTATTGATTAAAGCAGCTTCAGATTAGGCCAAGGATATCCTTTCTACATCATTACTTTCAGCCAGCAAAAAAACGGTGAAAACAAATCTGTTTTTCTAGCTTTAAAACCTGCTGTACTGTCCAAGGTGCTAAGCAACACCAGTTACAGGATGAATCTGTTCTAAGAAGTAAGTTAAACTTTTAAAAAAATTACTGAGAATGAATTAGGAATTTCTCAGTAATTTTGAATACCTTCATGGTGTCCTTTTCAAGAAAGTTTAAAGAGCTCCTCTACTTGCAGTACAAATAGCAAATAATAATATTAATAATGATAAAAGTTTCAATAAGGTTAAAAGATCAATTTTTAAAGGACATGCAGAGGTTTATTATTCCAGAATTATTCTAATCAAGTAATCATGATTCAATAAAGTATTAATGAGAAAATGTTGTCTCCTGAAACATAAATGTCAATTCCTGTCAAAATGAACTTTAATATTATTTGTATCAGGAATCACAATAATCAATCAGAGACAAATCCTAGTTAATCCAAATTCAATGAAACAACTTAAGTTTCACTGCTACTCTATATTCATGTAGTCATATAGCATACAGAATTTTAGGAACAAACCTCAACTAGTATATGTATCTCATTTCAATTTTAAACAAAGAACAACAAATCACAAATACAACGTGAAAGCATTTGTGAAACATTTTAATTTTAAGAAAGTATTAGATTTTTTTTTCCAAAACTAAAAATATTGGCATATTGGTTGCACTCTTCTTTCATACTTTATATTTTTCTGGATTGATGTGTGTTAACGTAGAGCGTTTTCACAATCATTAACTATGAACAATATGTTCAAGTGCTTTAACGAAGTTCCCAGACTTGTACATAAAATGGATCTTAACAACCAAAACTAATTATATATAAACATGTGAATTTAAGGCTTTCATCTAGATGTGGTAGCTCTAATTTTGTGACTGATCGTTTAACAATGGTGTTATTTCACAGTAATTATAATGCTTACTAAGAAGTAACTCAAGAAATGATACAAAATTAGAACATCCTTTGTTTTAGAAAGGTTGTTGCTGTGTTTCTTCATTTGCTTTCTATTATTTTAGCTTAAATTATTACTTTTATTTTAGATTAAATGTTCTAAACAAAAAATTACATAAAAATGGCAAACATAGAAATCTCTTCATTAAGTTATTGACGTCTGTGTATATTCTTCAAAATATCAAGATAAGTTAGTTCTACTTCTTACTATATCATCCTCTTTTCAACTTCTGTCATAACCAGTATTCTATACAGAGTGAAATTGGAGCATATCATAATTTTCTGTTTTATAACACAACTACTTATTCCACAAAGAATCACCACAAACTTTCAATTGTGATAAAGTGTTTAAGTTCAAATTGTGAATGGCAATTCTTACAGACCCACATATTTCAAGAAGAAAAAGACTATTATAGCAACTTACTTAGTTTACCCATTCTGAACAGTTCTCCATCTGGGACAGTCTTGATGCCATGGAGTCCATTGCCTAAATTGCTGTAAGTTCACTTCCCTAACTCGTACTTTGAGACACTACTGAACCACTGTCAAAGAAATGTTCCTGCACTGCTAGGCAAGTTTAATGAACTAACTTTTGTCTGTAGTCTACCTTCAGGATGTCTTTGTGGGACTTTAAAATAACATTTTTAATTCTAAACTTCCAAGAGTCAGCAGAGGAAAAATAAATGAATGAGAAGAACAATAACAATAACAAAAAGCATTTATTACACTTACTGTACAAAGAGTTATAGACAAAGTAGAAATATACTTTAAGATAATATTTACACAGAACTTTTAAGCAGAATTCTGGATATTAATGGGAATGACTTTAAAGTTTTAATTTACAACAATTTATTTTCTTTCTATAAAGAAAAATGAAAAGGACTATTAAGTTTTCCTAACTTAAAGACTTGCCCTCAATGAAAACTAAAGAACCTTCAATTTTCTAAAATACCTGGACAGACAAAGGTCCAAAAGAAAACTGGAGTAATAAAAAATTGTAATTGCATTAATCTAAATTTGAACTGCTTCACAAATGCTAAACTCATGAAAAACTCAAAATTTGATCACAGTGGCAATTTTTCTAGTTTACATCCAGAGATACAGACGGACACATTATTATTAAATATACATTATGTCTTATTTTATTATTTATCTTAAAAATCTGTATATTTAAACTTCAGAAAAGAAAATAAAACATGTATTTGAAGCCACAAAAACTAATACATTTGTATTATTATTACTAATAACTAACAACTAATGCTGTGATAAGCAGGATTCTAAGACAACTTCCAAGATTGCTGCTCCCTACATTCCCCTTGATCATAGACAGAACCCATGAATATAATAAGCTATCACTGCTGGTATTATGTTGTGCTATACAGCAAAGAGGATATTATTGTTGGTGGAACTGAGAGTCGAAGCAGAAGTGTTTTCTTTAGCTGGTTTTACAGAAATAGATAAGAGAGATGTGCTCCTGCTGGCCTGGAAAAAAGCAAATGGTCACATTGTGAACTGCTGACATAAGGGTAGTTTCTAATAGCTCGAGGATTTCCAGGCCAAGAGCTGGCAAGGAAACCGTTCAGGAACAGCAATCCAACCACAAGCAGTGAGTTTGCAAGAGGACCCTGGGCCCCAGATGAGAACTACAGCATTGTTAACACATTGATTTCAGTCTCATGAAACTCAGCAGAGAATCCAGCTAACCCCTACCCAGATTCCAGGCCCACAGAAACTGTGAGAAAATTACATTTATACTAATTTAGTTGATAAGTTTGTTGTCATTTTTTACACATTGATAGAAAACAAATGCAAATGCAAAGAGAATAAAATAGAAACATAATTGATCTTTCTTTTGACTTTCATATAAAGCTTTTGGTCCTAACCCCCTGTCATCTAATGTATGTTTCTTGAAAGAATAATAACACTCCAACAAAGCATTTATAAAATGAGTAATTGTAATATATTTTCTCATTTTACAATATTTAGATAGGCACATTTAGTGTTTGGAAAGCACTGTTTTATTGTAAAGGCTTGCCATGAAAAGGCCAGTTATGTGACTTCCAAAAAGGCTAAGACATGGCCCAGAATGGTTGGAATTTTGTAATTATATCACCCTAACATATGAGAGATATATAGTAACCAAAATTAAATTCTTAATTTATAAAGCATTTATCATTTATTCCAATAACAGAGATGCTTGAGTTCCTTATTCAGGTTATGCCTCTCCCAGTTCCAAGACATCTGACCAGCAGAATTGGCAATTGCTTTTGTAATAAACATGGATAGAGCAAAAAGATTCAGAAAGTCCTAAGCAATGAGTGAGATATTGTCTGATGCTATTTGCACATCTTCATTGAGAACACAAATTCACCTGTTTATCTCTGTTGTTTAAACAATGATTGCAACATACACTCCATAATTTTTCTTTCTGAATGCTGATAGTTTCTATAGTTCATTTTGAGCATTTCCCGATCTGATCATCTCTTCATATATACGAATACTGTGTTAAATAGATTGCTAGTCCGAGGAGCTTAGTCAATCCTGTAGAATTAAAAATATTCTCTATGCTTTTATTCTGCGGTGATAAAATTTCTTTAATTCTCAAAGGTCAGCCACATTTCTTAGCTTAGAAAACTCGAAGTCATTCCAAGTATTTTAATTAAGAGGAGATTTAATACAGGAGGCTTGAGGCATATAACATAATTGGAGAAACTGAAGAAGCAAGTTTCGTACTGAATGTTCAGCGTACAAGCCCGAAGCATGCACCAGCTGTTAATGCAATTACCTTGAAGTAGCCAAGAAATTAGTAAACAGCCACCAGAAGCTCTAGTACAGGCCTCTAGCCATGATATGAATGAGAAGCAAAACTTTATTGTCTTAAGCCACTGTTAAGGTGTTTGTTATAGGGTTAGTTTATCAGAATAACATAAAAATATTATATGATTTCATTTTTTATCACTTTAAAAACATTTTATCATTTTTAATCATTTTTAATATTATTATAATTTTCCACCTGTGGTGTATTTGAGAGTATGAAAGATATATTTTTCTTCCAAATACAAAATGAAATGTTTAACTCAGTATGTTTAAGCATAAACCAAGTAATGGTACCCCATATTGGTGAACTGTACCCATAACCTTGTTAAGAATACTCATACGCTCTTTGCATGGTCTTTGTTATTATGTAATAATCTGAGAAAGAAAAAAGGTTGTAATAGTTCTAAAGTAAATATGGCAAATATTAGGATAACTATATGGGAGATAATCATATGTCCAATGACTCACTGTTACTAATTCTGTTCTTTCCTGGGCCATCATCACGATTATACACTCATCACTGCTTTAATGTAAATACATTCACATCCATATTCCAATTGGAGCATCAATGATGTCTTATACTAGTCTACGTTTCTCTAAACCATTTTACTATCTATATGTATCCTGTAACATCATGTTTAAACTTTAAGTACATACGATTTACTTATTTATTTATTGTTTGTTTGTTTATTTATTTAAAAAAGAAATGTAGGTAATCTAGGCAATTCTGGGTCTCTCAATTGCATTGAATTACTTGGGCTTGCTTCCCAGCAAATTGTGTCAGCCTTAAGGATGAGCATCAGGTTCAGCTGCCCCTGAGTCTCTTCTGGTTGTACCATGTCAGAGATTCTTAAACTGAGATTATTCTCTTGGGTGCTCAAGCTCTCCTGAAAATTGTTTCTGTTATTTAATTTAAATTAAAAACTAATACAATTACAATGGATATTGCCACAAAATATCACCACACATGCCTGTATTTGTCTTTATGTTTGCTCTGGTTAAATGTAAATCCAAGTCTAATTTAAGTATGATGTTTTTTTTCTATTTCAAGTGCTAGAAAGCAGTGGAAGAACTGAGCCTTCACATAGCATGAATGTTACATGCTAAACTTAAAATAATCCAGATTATATCATTCAGCACTCTCTTAATTTTGAAACAAAAGACTTTACAATTTTTATTATGCTATTTTGTAACAGTTCATTATAAGTAATTGAAATATGATCAGTAAAGTGAAAAATTTGACTTAGGCTTCCAGCAATAATTGAGTTAGACTTAATACATATTTCAGTTAGATGAAATGCTAATTATTTCTACAGTAGAACACAAAGCTTGGAAAAATTCTTAAGAATAATGATTTCCAAACTGATGAAACATTTTTCATCAAAATAGAATATGAGAATTGATAAAGTGTATTTTGGTTAGGAGTGTTTTCTTAATTCACATAACTAACAAATAAACATAAACTTCACTAATATTTAATAAAGCATTTTTACGTACATAGACATTTTCTGTACTATTCTAACATATAGAAACAGATTAAATATAAAATTGAACCTGAGGTTACATAATTTTTTGTTAATACCAATAAAAAGATAAACAAATCATCTATCACATTATATTGATAAAATTAAAATTTAACTGATTAGTTTTGTTTATATACATATATGTATCCTCGTTTGTATAGTTTATTAAGATCTAAAAGCATGCATTTACATAGAATTATATTTTAATTCTATTTAATAGTCTATGCATAGTAATAATTTTTAAAATATTATCAACTTTGGAATTTTGAAAAAATATTTTGTTATACAACTCCTAGTTGCCTTTCACCCCCTCCCCCAAATTAGTGCTTTCATTCTTCCACAGTAAAACAATTTTTTGATGGGTCTAAAACTGACCAGTGATTAACATCATTTCCTGGTTTCCCTTGAGACTGGTTGCAGCTTGTGCCTTGCAACCAAATAACTATATTCAGGACAATGTAATATTAGTGAAGGGAATATGTGCAACTTCTGCATCATGACTTTAAAATAAGAGAAGAGTTGCTATTTTTCACCTTCCTTCTCTCTGGGCTGTATTGCAGATCATGTGGTGGTCATAAGTCTCTTGAATAGTGAGAACAAAGGCAACAAGTTACGTAACAAAAGCGGACTAGAAATGGTCTGAGTCTCCAACATAGTGGAATTTCCATATACACCCTGGAAAGCTCATCCATAGCCTTGTAACATGGGAAAGAAATAAAGTCTTTCTTATTTTAACCATCCATTGGAGTCCCTTCCATAGCGGCCCCAACTATTTCCTAAGTATGACAGAATTTGGTATGTGGTTGTAAAAATGCATAGAATAGAGCCTTAAATAGCTGTGAAATCATATACACTTTAGGCTGGAAACTAACACTTGTTTGCAGTGGGAAAACCATTGAAAATGTTTGTATAAACAAGTTTTATGCACTTCTCCAAATTTGGAATTTCTCTAATATTTGATAGATTTTTTTTTTTTTACAATTGAATTCAGGTAGGGGTGGAGTCTTGGCATAGTCAACAGAAATCACTTCATAACATTCAGCTAGTCCTAGAGTTCCATTAGTTGACCTGTGAAGAGGGAGTAGTTGACCTGTAGAGAGGGCTGCTATGACAGAAAACATATTCACTGTGGGATTAGTGGCATTTTGACTAGTAGCACTTGAATCTTTGGGACTGTGGAAGAGGCTGATAGTTGTCCACATTAAATCTATTACTTTTCACTCATCACAGTAATAATTCTAGATGGCAACATCTTTCAGCTTATAAGATGAACACACTAGGGAAGGCAGATGAGTGTACTAGTTGGCTTATTCTGGAACTGTTATTTGATAGAAGGATAAACAGTTGAGCTTAAGCCATGGTTATTCTAAAGGCTGTACCAGAGCAAGCAAACTATAGCCCAACTAATCATATCCTTTAAAATGTTTTCAACCATTACTCAAAATGAAGAACTAGAAGAAAATCAAATTTTCTTAAGATTAGTATAAATGTTTCATAGAACATCAAAAATGCTTAATAGTGAGTTAAGAATAATATATCTGCATATACCAATTTTATTATTACTATGGTAAATTCTCTGATCATTAAATGGATTTATGAAAAAGAACTAATTAAGCAGTGTATTAGCCTGTTCTCATGTTGCTAATAAAGATGTACCCAGATTGGGTAATTATAAAGGAAAGAGGTTTAATTGACTCACAGTTCAGCATGGCTTGGGAGGCCTCAGGAAACTTACAATCATGGCAAAAGTGTAAGCACCCACTTCCTTCTTCACATGGCAGCAGGAAGGAGAAAAATGAGAGCGAAGCAAAGGGGGAAGCCGTTTGCAAAACCATCAGATCTCCTGAGAGCTAATTCACTATGATGAGAATAGCATGGCAGAAACCATTCCCACGATTCAGTTACCTCCAACCAGGTCCCTCCCATGTCATGTGGGCATTATGGGAACTACAACTCAGGATGAGATTTGAGTAGGGACACAGCCAAACCATATCAAACACATGTTGTGATTCTGGGACCACAGTTATCTATTTAAGGATCTGATGATATTTCCAGTACAAATATCAACTTTAATAGGCTTACTCATCTTGTTATTTCACACAAAATTAGCTTTCTGAAAAAATGATGAGTTTACTTTAGGAGGCTGAGGTGGGTGGATCATGAGGTCAGGAGATAGAGACCATTCTGGCTATCACAGTGAAACACCATCTCTACTAAAAATACAAAAAATTGGCCTGGTGTGGTGGTGGCCGCCTGTAGTCACAGCTACTTGGGAGGCTGAGGCAGGAGAATGGCATGAACCCGGGAGGTGGAGCTTGCAATGAGGCAAGATCACGTAACTGCACTCTAACCTGGGCAACAGAGTGAGACTCTATCTCAAAAAAAAAAAAAAAAATGATGAATTTGAGACTTTTTTGTTCCTACATTTAATTTGTGCACTCTGATCTATTTTACCTGTGGTCAAAAATCATACACTAATAGCACCAAGAACAACTTGTAAATGACTGTTATTTATTACTTTGATAGGAACAAAACTATGCTTAAACCAGTGCATAAGTTTACCAGGAGCTTATTATTATTCCCTTAGAAATAGTATATGTACATTACTCGAGAATTTTTCTGGGGAAAGTAATTCAAGTATATTCAATGCATGTTTTCTAGTGTGTTGTTATGAAAGGGATTTATTGATTAGAAATTGGGAATTGTGATACAAACAAAAGGATAATTTGATATATTGATATCATGACACTGCTGTAGGTCACAAAGTTTATGACCTTGCAGAATATATTTATCAGAAATTTGTGGCACCAATTGTAGAAGATAAAAGATATGCTTTCTAAATTGGTGAATTTATAGTTGTTTCCAATAAATCCTGGTTAATTTATGCCTAAAATTTCACCCATTAAAATGACTTTATGGAATAAATTATAGCATTAAAGACTGGCCAAGGAAACAAGTAGAAGAAAGTTTTAAAAAATGTGGACAGATTTATTTAAAATGATAATGTTTTATTTGAGATTGGCATATGAGAAGCTCTACAGAAAGAGATACTGCCGAGAGGTGGCACAAGAATAGACTCAGTTGCTCTTCTTCCTGTGTAAATCAGGAATTTTGCTATATGCCTAAACAAGTATTACTCAATAAAATTGAATATTCATCTGAACACAGCCATTGAAAAATAAGTGTTACTAATTTCAAGATAAAAAATTAACAACAGTTGTTTCAACATTTTATGATAAAATAGAATAAATTTAAACTAAGCTGTTGCCTCATTCAGAAGTATTATGGTTCTTATGGGTATATAATTTCACTTAATTTAAACATTTATTTAATTTAAAATTTGAAGTTGGGCTTTATATGATAGAATGTAAATCTGATAAGGCTGATTGCTTTTATAATGAAGATTGGCTTTGCAAATTAGATTGAAGAGCCAAATCTCCTTGTACATTATTTAAGCAAAAGCTATTGGGCTATGATTTTGAGAAAAATAAATATAAAGAAAGTGATAAAATAAAATTAATAATCCAACAATACTTCATCGACAAAAATGAATTCAGATTAACAAGATTTAAATTCTACCCTTTTTGAGTGAATCAGCTTCAATAAGTTTTCTCTAAGTGAAAGTGAAATAGGTCATTTTAAAAGAGTAATAGTTTTTTGATCAATTTTCTAAAGTTGTTTGGCATACATCACAGAAATTGAAAGAACAGCTTCAATTATTGAGAACCAAGTGCATTTGCAAAGCAGGTGTTTTCCAATTGTTTCAAAATACTGAAAAAAAAATGATACAATTGATGGGTTAACTAAAAGATCATTGTATCAGTGAGGATCTTGTCAGTAGAATAAAGCCCTTGCTGGGTGGTCCAGTAAATGAAGTTTAATATAAGCTCTATTTATGAAGGTCCTAAATGATATGAAAAATCAAATAGAAACTAGTGACACAGCCTGAATATTTGCAACACTAAGATATTGTTAACATCTATAAAGCTGGAAGGACAAGAGAAGGAATTGTGTCACCTCAGCTAAAGCTCCCACTGGTTGCATCTTGCAAGAAGCCATTTGCCAAGGCTTCAGGGAAATGGGTTTCATAAGGAAGTATAGAAAATGAATTTGAAACTAAATGACCAGCACAATTCACAATTTTGCATCTCAGCATCCATTTTCCTCCTTTAGCACTTACTTAAGTGCCATTCAAAAACAACATTATATTTCTACTTAACATGAGATAACTATCATTTATATATAAAATTTTCTTCATACTCTCCTTCACAAGATGGAATAGTGTCTCCCATCATTTCCTCTGGCCTGCAGAGAAGAGGCCTACAGACCTTCTCAGGAACTCTGACACTTCCCAACTAGTTTGTTTAAACACACTAATAAAGGCAGTGACCAGATAATAAGACACAAAATATCTGTTTTGTATCTGACTCATCATCGTTTCATATGTCCTAATGCTGAAAGATCATGTCTTTGTGGATTGAGGGCAATAATCAAAGTAAATAATATATGTCACCTGCAGCCAAGGTCAGTTTGGCCAATGATAGTCGCAATGTTTACTAACAATGGCTATATGAAGCTCCTTGGCATACTCATACAAAAATATATTTTGGGAATAACTACTACTTATATGAGATCATTCAAGAGAACTCAAAATTTTGGCATCTTAAATATATACACAAATAGTATTCAAGCAATAAGCATCCATTGGCAACAACCTGCTGTTGGATAAACCAACGTTCTTCAAAATGCCCTTAAGGAGTCTTGAGTGAAATTGGTACAGGTAAGGTGTTCTAAGGTAAACTGATTTTTTTCTTTAATAATGGAAAACATACTGAGGAAAAGGTCTTATTGTCACACATAGGTCACTTAAGAGGGGTGTTATTTCAAAAGAAATATGACAAATATCTTGGACAAGTATTATTGCTTCAGGGAACTAGATGAAACAAACTTAAAAGATAGCCAAATAACATGCCAAGGAAAAAAGGGGTAAGCAAAGGAAGTTCAAGGATCTTCACAGCAGAAAAACACAAGAAGTACTTATGGAGGGTGGATGATTTTTCTAGTCCAGTGAACATAGAAATCAAAAATTTAAATAAAAAGCATATCCTGTGCAACTGAGTGAGAATCTGAGGGTCTGCGCCTGGAAATTTTCAGACCTCACTGAAAATGTCTGTATGTTCTGTCCTGTTCTACCTTCACCCTAAGTAAAGCCTGATATAAAGATACCCTGTGGATCCTTGTGGGTTGTTTTAAGTATCTTACCCTGTATAATCAGAACAGTACTCGTTGTGGTGCACTTCATGGTCAATTCAGTCTTCACAGTTCATATGTGATCCTTGAATCATGGATATAAAATATACAATTAAAATATACAATTTAGATAACCATGTCTTAAAAGTGTTAACATTCTCTATTTGTCATAAACTGTCACATTCCTGTGAACCAGGCTGCAAGGAGAAAATAAGAATTTTCCCCTCAAGGCTATGGGTCTGGAGGAAAGGGTCCCAACCTGCTGTGCTTTACTAAAGTTTTTTCGAAAAAAAAAATTGAGAAAAGGCATACAAAAAGAAATACTAAAAGATTAGTTCCCAAAATCAAAAAAGTTATTCAATTGTGGGGTCTCAGGGAATGCTGAGATAGATGAAAAAGAAGTAAGCAAGGCAAGAAAACACTTTGACATATGATGGTGAAATTTTAAAACCATGAGAATATAGCAAAATTCTCCCAAAGCTCATGTTACTTAAGGGACACGTATATACATTATAAATACAATTTACCAACAAAAAAGGAAAATGCCCTTGCATGTATTTAGTTTTTACTGTAGCATTATCTGAAGAGCTGAAAACAACATAATATTTCATATTTAAATAAATTTAATATACTAATATTATGGAAAATTATCCAACTATTTAAAAATAAAATAGATACAGATACAAAAGGAATTACAGGACAAAATGTGTTTTAAAATCTTATGGTATAGAAAAAATAAATGTAGTATTGCCATTTTATGTTAAAAAGGGTTTATATATGTGTGTGTACAAAGGTCTGAAAGTATATTTATATATTGCTTGAATTTTGGAGAATAAAAATATATTAGTCTGATAATAGTATAATAAAATTATTAAGAGAAATTATTCCGTTCTATAACTAGATGTACATGTAGCTGTTTATCGATATGCATAAACACAAATATATGTATTTTCTAGTATTAATTTAGGTTTATAAAAATGAGAAGAGATCTCTGTATGGTAAGATTTTATGTAATTTTTATTTTATTCTTTATAGTTTTATTAGTCCATTTTCACAGTGCTATAAAGAACTATCTGAGACTGGGTAATTTATAAAGAAAAGATGTTTAATTGACTCACAGTTCCACATGTCTGGAAAGGCCTCAGAAAACTTACAATCATAACAGAAGGTGAAGGGGAAGCAGGCACCTCTTACATGGCCGCAGGAGAGAGAGAGAGTGAGCAGGGAGGTGCCACACTTTTAAACCATCAGTTTTCCTGAGAATGCTCACTATCAGGAGAACAGCATGAGGGAAATCCGCCCTCATGACCTAATCACCTCCCACCAGGTCCCTCCCCTGACATGTGGGGATTAAAATCCCACACAAAATTTGGGTGGAGACACAGAGCCAAACTATGTCATTAGTTCTTTATGTTGTTTAATTTTTGAAAACCTATATTATATTTTTGATAAAATTATACCCACTTTGTATTTTTATTTTTTTAAAAACCTTGTTTTTAACATCCTTATACATTTTTTTTAACCTGGAAAGTCCTTTATCATATTCTAAAGCTCATTCCAAAGAGTGTAGTTTCCAGTTCAGAAAGCTTTACTATTTTTAAAGTTTTATTTATTTAGTTATTTGGTCAAAAGAAGATACTACCTCTTTCTTGTCAGGTGCACCAAGTCAGACATACTGTGCATTTTCTTGTGTCTGGATTGGTAACATGGAAGTTGCATGACTTCTCTGATATTGTCGTGGGGAAAAGGTTAAACAACTTTGTTGTAATTATGTAAAGGCAGCTTTTGTATGCAAAAATGTGAAGATTTTGAAAAGAGGATGAGAAACATTATGTAAAAGACAAGATTTCGTTTCCCTGAAACAATACATACTATGACTGTCTTCATTAAGTTTAATATTAGTAAAATTTTATAATATACTGATTGCTGTAAAAGAGGTCCATACTGAGAAAATGGCCTCTAAGAGAAAAGGGAAAATGAGATCTAGAGTTTTGGTTTCAGCACCATGATCTATGGCTTCTTCAGGAAAAGCTGGCATGGTGACAGTGTGTGAATGGAGGAGGAAGCCCTTCACATCCAGCCACTTTGTTATAGTGAAATTGTTTTGAGATCAATGACTGAACACACCAGTGTTTCCAAATAAGTGATTATACTGGGAATTCAAAAGTAAGAACCATTGTGATACAAGCAGGAGTCTGAATAATCAGGACAATGGCTTAAGAGTGAGCTGAAATACAACTCAAATGTTTATAGCAGCACAAGTTGCAATTGCAAAAACGTGGAACCAGCCCAAATGCCCATCAGCCAATGAATGGATAAAGAAAATGTGATATATATATATATATATCATATATATATCATATATATGTGTTATATATGTGTGTTACATATATGTGTTACATATATGTGTTATATATTACATATATATGTGTTATATATATAAAAATGTTATACATACACACACACACACACACACGATATATACACACAACATGGAATTCAACTCAGCTATGTAGAGGAATGAAATAATGGCATTCACAGCAACCTGTATGGAATTGGAGACTATTATTCTAAGTGAAGTAACTCAGGAATGGAAAACCAAACATTTTATGTTCTCACTCATGTATGGGAGCTAAGCTACAAGGATGCAAAGGCATAAGAACAATACATTGGACTTTGGAGACTGGGGAAAGTGGAGGGTGAGTGGCAAAGGATAAAAGACTACACATTGGGTACAGTGTTCATTGTTTAGGTGATGGGTACGCCAAATCTTCAGAAATCACCACTAAAAAACTTATTCATGTAACCAAACACCACCTGTTCCCCCAAAACCTATTGATATATAAAATAAGAATAAAAAATTAAATTTAAAAAATAAAAATAAATAAAGTCCTTATCTCCAAAAAAAGAAGGAAACTGTCATTTGTTGCAACATCAATAAACCTGTAGAACACTACACAAGGTGAAATAATCCAGGCACAGAAAAACAAATACAGCTTTATCTCTCTTTTATAGGTAGAATCTAAAAAAGATGAACTCATAAGGTGGTTGCCAGGGACTTTGGGTAGGAAAAATGGGGAAATTTTGATCGAAGGGTACAAATTTTCAATTTTGTAGTATGAATGAATTCTGGAGATCTAATGTACAGCATGGTGACTATAGCTAATAATACTGTGTTGTATCTTTGAAATTTGCTAAGAGACAAAATCTTAAATGTTCTCACCACAAATAAGTAAATATATGAAGCAATGGGTATGTTAATAAGCTTGATTGTAACAATCATTTCACAAGGTATATGTACAACATGTTATACACCTTAAATATATACAATTTGTATTTGTTAATTTATACCTCAATAAAGCTGGGAAATTTCTAACAACAACAACAACAAAAGTCACAATGACAGAAAAAAATGTTGTATTAATCAAGGTTTCCAGACTCCCCCTGGATTTTCTTTGAAAGAGGGTGTCACTTACAGAATGGCAACAGTTTCCAGCACTTATTTTATTTTTTGTGGAGACAGTGTCTCACTGTGTTGCTCAGGTTGAGATCCTGACCTCAAATGATGCTTCTCCCTTGGCCTCCCAAATCACTGGGATTATAGACATGAGCCACGATGCCTGGCATGATGTGCTTTATGTTATTGATATATATATAGTGATGCACTTTTTGATATTGAGATATGTACTGATAAGTACAATTAATAAGTTATTCTAATCTGAAACAAATACATTGAATGTCATTTGATAAAAGTCAATGTTTATTCCTACTCTATACTTTTGATTACATAATCTCCATGACCAGAATTTAAACTCAATGAAGGTTCATATGAAAAAAGACTGCCTAGTTTGAAGAGATTTCTACTTCAGTAACCAGAACAGATCCTAATATATTAAAGCACTCAAAAATATGAGTATTAAATAATTTAATTAGCATTTTTCTAGGATACTGAATTTGATTTCCTGGCATTATTTTTTCTCTAATGTGCATTTTTAAATACTTGAGATTTCTTGGTACTCTCCTTTGTTAGAGTTTTCATCTTTCTGAAAGTTTAGAGAGTTTACTAATCATTTGGATTTAAACACTTTTCAAACTTTTGATGTATTTTTAAATAAATATTTATGGAGGTATACTTGACATATAATACATAGTATATATTTACATGTGCTTGAATAGACATACTTTTCAAATAATATACATACAGCCAATAAGCATATGAAAAGATGAGATATCACTTTGTCTGCATTAGGTAGCTATTATTAAAAATATATATATGTTGGTTATGCTGTAAAGAAATTGGAATCCTTGTGCTCTGTTGTTGGAAATGATAGATGATGTAGCCACTATGAAATAGAGTATGGAAATTCCTCTAAAAATTAAAAGTAGAATCCATACAATCCAGCAATTTTACTCATCTATACAAAATGAACTGAAAATAAGGTACTCAAACAGAAATTTTTGTACACCCATGTTTATAATAGTATTATTCAGAATAGCTACAAGGTGAAAGCAACCCAAGTGTTCATTGATGGATGAATAAATAAACAAAATGTGGTATATACATTCAGTGGAATATTAACCAGCCTTTAAAAGGAAGGAAACTCTGGCACGTGCTACAATGTGGGTGGACTCTGAATATATTATGCTCAGTGAAATAAGCCAGTCACAAAAGTACAAATATGATATTATTCTACTTATAAGAGGTGCCTAGAATAAACACATGTATAGAAACATAAAGTGGGAATTATTGTTTAATGAGTAGTTTCAGTTCGGTAAGATGAGAAAAGTTCTGGTGATGATGGATGGTGGTAATAATTGGACAGTGTGATGTACTTAAAGCCACTAAATTGTAGACCTATAAATGGTTACAATGCTAAACTTTCTATTATATATGTTTTACCACAATTTTAAAAAATTATAAAGGAGGCCGGGCGCAGTGGATCATGCCTATAATCCCAGCACTTTGTAAGGCCGAGATTGGCGGATCACTTGAGGTCAGGAGTTCGAGATCAGCCTGGCCAAGATGGTGAAACCCCGTCTCTACTAAAAATGCAAATATTAGACAGGTGTGGTGGTGCATGCCTAGAGTCTCACCTGCTCAGGAGGCTGGGGCAGGAGAATCATTTGAACACGGGAGGCAGAGGTTGCAGTGAGCCGAGATCCTGCCACTGCACTCCAGCCTGGGTGACAGAACAAGACTCAGTCTCAAAAAAAAAAAAAATTATAAAGGTAAGAAAAACTATTATTATAGCTGAAATACATATGTTCAACCTTGTTCAACTTTAGTATTATATGACAAAAGCTATTTCAACTAAATTTGCTATCGTTTTTGCACTTTCTTTCAGGCATACTTTCATTGTATTTATCAAGAGCTATGTCCCACATTGCAATTTTTTCCATGCTCATGACCTTTAGCATATAAGTAATACATGCTGTTTCATATTGCTTAGAAATTGTGTCACCATGCGGTCTCTTGTCTGTTTTGTCTCACCAACTGGGTTATATGCTTCCTACTAATGATGATTAGTTTTGATTCTTCTACATAAGCAGAGAGAAGTATAATAATATTCATGGTATAGACAAGGAAAATGCATATGTATGGGTTCATTCGAATCAGATTTATCTTCAACTTTTCAGGATTATCAAATTCCAAACTAAGTAATAATATTAAATAGCATATCTACAAAAGAGAAAGACTCAAAACTGTTTAAGATTACTTGGTAAAAGTCATCTGAATTTGCACAAGGAGCTCTGATATTCTGGCAAAATAATGGGAAGGGGTGAAGAAGTTGTTTTATTTTCAACGTGTAATTTACGTTATCTTTTAGTTTTTCTGTTTTTGCTATAGTTTTTTCTTAAGAGATTATGGCTGAAAAGCTCTTCATCCTGAATTATTACTGTCAACTGCTGTTTTCAATAGCAGTTGAGGCCTAAAGTAATACAAAGGAAAATTTCATGGGTCTTTTGGTAGCTGTGTTTTTAATAAGTGTGTGTAATGGTATATGTCCTCAGAGGCAAATGCGAAGACAAATAATTAAGAGGATAAAATATAGTCACCAACTTTCAAGCAGATACTACATTTTCCACATTGATTGTATATTTTTCTAATCCTTGTCTAACTTAATCTTTGCATGGAATGTGAATTATTATCTTTATTCTAGGAATGAGGAAACAGAGATCCAGGAATAAATTTTTTAAACACATGCAATTTTTTTACCTCATATGTCAAGTAAAGTTTTTTTTTAAAAGATTATTGTTGTTGCTTGTTTTTGTTAATGTAAACTAATCTCTGCACCACATTCATTGCCTTTCACAGTGTGTGTGTGTGTGTGTGCACTTTGATGACAGATTTTTTAAAAGATATTACTTGAGCATATTCTTAAATATTTTCTAGAAATTTTAAATCAATAGAGAATTGGCAAAAGCAACAATTACATTTTTTCCTTAAATCTCTCTTATTTAAATATACTAGTCCCTAGCTCCATGGCTTACCTTGGAGAAAGTTATTCTTTTAAGAAAAAAAGTACTTTTAATGTCAATAAGCAACATGCAACATGCTTAGTATTCACTTCATGCAACTTTTTATTTAGAAGTGAAAACTCATGTTCCCAAAGGAAATGGCTCACTTTCTGCACCAAGTATTACATTTGTGTGATTTACTGAGATATTAACATGGAAATGGTGATGCTAAACAATAGTTTCAATAGCTCTAAAAGTGTAGTGGGAATCATGATTTCATAAGAAGAAAATTAGTTATGTAGGTAACATTATTGTATAATTTCCCACAGGATCTCTACATTGGGATAGGTTTTATTATATCCTCAAACAAGTTTCCTACATTCACTTTAGATATAAAACAATGCTGAATATAACAATATCATAAGGCAGCTCACAGTGCGAGCAAAGACATCTGTTAATGGTACCATGAATAGTTATGAACTGAGGTGCTCAAATGGCTTTGCCAGCAAAGCATTGCCTCTTAATTTATTTTTATAGCAAATGGAAGCCTCATTTTTCATGGTTGGGTAGTTTGCATTCAAATGTACCAATAACTTCAAATGCAATCACTTCTACACAGCATGTTTTATTGTAGAGCACAAGCTGGAATTGCTAATGGTTTGTTGATGGGTAGACATCTTCTTCATCAGCATTTTGTCTCATTCTGTATTTTGCTGTTTTGAAAATTATTTTAAGTAATGTGTATTTATCCACAGTAATATTTCAAAACACAGATTTTTATATGAAGAGTTAATATAATTCCAAATTGTGTAAATACGAAAAAATGTAAATATTTTCCTCTTTGAGCCCTGGAATTGTTTAAAATATATTCCATTATACTGATACTGAAATTTGCCTGAAAAATGTAAATGTTTTTCTCTTCGAACCCTGGAATTGTTTAAAATATATTCCATTATACTGATACTGAAATTTAACTGAAAGGATTTTAACATCAAAAGATGTATTTATCTGCTGTGATCTAAAATGTGTCCCCTCACCCACAATTCATATGTTGAAGCTCTAACCTCCAATGTGACTATTTGGAGGTAAGACCTGTATAGAAGTGATTAAGGCTAAATAAGGCCATAAGGGTGGGGCTATAATCTGCTAGGATTAGTGATGTTGTAAGAAGAGACCTCAGAGAACTAGCTCTTGTCTGCTCATTCTGTCTCTCTCTCTCTCTCTCTCTCTCTCTCTCTCTCTCACTCTTTTTCTCTCTTTCTCTGTGTGTAAACACTAATAAGAGGTCAAATGAGGATACAGCTAAGTGACAGCCACCTGCTAGACAAGAGAAGAGATCTCAGAATAAATCTGCCTTGCCTGTACCTTGAGCTTGGACTTCCCAACCTCCAGAACTGTGAGAAATAAATGTCTGTTGTTTAAGCCCCCCAGTCTGTGAAATTTTGCTATGACAGCCTGAATACATTAAAATTAAATTAAAATATTTTCATAATTAAGCTTTTATAAACAGGAATTCAGTTATAAGTAAAAAAAATCTATGAAAGTGACAGCTTCATTCATAAAACAGTTATAGATACTTGGACAACTACTACAACTATTACCAAAGTTGTAAATGTAAAGTATTTCAATAAGTTACTTCCTCCACCACTTTGAATAACTGTTTAAAAGACGTGATTTTAATTATACATGTATGTATCTTTATCCTTGAGTCAGAAATAGAAAAATAAAATTGTTTTGTATTTTTTCCAGAGGTAATTAGATTTGTTGTGGATTATAGTCTTTAAAGTTGCTAACAATTCTCAACAACCTTTGAAAAAGCAACTAAAAAAATTCGACCAAACCAGCAATCTTGAGATCCCATCTACACTGTAGTAAGGAAAGGATACTAGAGGACTTTTATCTACTTTCTACTATGTAGAAAGGATAGAACGATGTTAAACCTATTGAAATGAATGTCCTCCATGAACATGATACCTTAATGTCAAACACAATATTATGGTAAGAAACTATACTTATATTCATATTAAATATCTTGTTAGATAAAGCAATTGGTGAAATTAACATGCATTTCACCAGACTTTCCTTTTTGAAATATAACTATTAACTTATGTTGTTCTTACACATAGTATTTGTTTTCTTATGTGTTTATAAATTTATTTTGTAATTATTTTGTAAAATAATTGTACATATTCATGGGGTACATATGATATTTTGATACATATAATATATAGTTATCAGGTGGGGTAGTTAACATACCCGTCATCTCAAACATTTTTTATTTCTTTGTTTTGGGAACATTCAATATCCTTCTTCTATCTATTCAAAACTATATAATGCATTATTGTTAACTATAGTCATCTTACAGTAGTAGAGGACACTGGAATTTATTCCTCCTATCTAGTGGTAATTTTGTATCCTTTAATAAACCTCTTCTTAATCTCCCTTCCCCAGCCTTTAGTATTCTCTGTTTGTAGAATTCCATGATATGAACTTTTTTTTAGCTTCCATTTATGAGTGAAAACATGGTGTTTAGCTTTCTCTTCCTGGCCTATTTTACTTAACATAATGTCCTCCAGTTCCATCTATGTTGTCACAAATGACAGGATTTTCAAATGGTTTTTATCCTAAACACGTAACTAATGACTCTTTAGTCAAACATTATTTGTTTGACTAAAGAACTGTATATTAAGAAATAATTGACTTTAGGAGAACGAATCATTGAGGTATTTTGTCTGTGAATTTATAACAGTAACTATACTATTGAATATACATTTGAGTACATTTAAAAATGAGTTACTACATTTTATAATCTTCAAAGTTTTAAACAGGAATGGTTTAATCAAAACTAAACAAGATAGAATTATCAAATGAATTTATAACAAGTATGGTGTAGTGACAGGAGATACGTATTTAGCCAACAACAAAATTAGCATTGCAATTTAGGGGGAAAAAGAGATAGGTTAAACCTGCAACTCAAGAAGATGATAGAAAATAACAACAATAACAACTATTATCATTATAATTTATCCTTTTTTTTTGAGACTGAGTCTCGCTCTGTCGCCCAGGCTAAAGTGCAGTGGTGTGAATCTTATTTATTTACATATAGTCATACATTTAATTTCTCAAAAAATTCATGGCAGTTACATCATTAATCACATTTTAATTCCTAAATTTTAACTTTTTCAAAGAAAACAGATTTGGAAACAAAAATTGTCCATCCTTTGTAATACATTTGGAAAAAGATGAAACAAGAATTTCGTCTCAGACTGGCTTCTAGCAAACAGTACTGATAATTATGTATGGTAATTTTTAGAATTTGATCACAGACTTTCCATATTAAATGTGTTTCTTTTATAACTCACAATTTTAAACTTTTCAATTTAGTTCGTTTACAACAACAACAAAAAAACAACAAAGACAACCAATAATAAGAATTGTGAAAAATTATGTTTGAAGAAAATAGTCAACATTTTCTCTTTAGAGACATGTCTTGCAACATGTAGCAAAAGGTTTTGAAATGATTTTACAAGATGCTAAATCATTCATAGATATCTCATCAAACTTATGACTGACATTTATACTGAAGGAAATTTCACACGATATAACATTAACTAGTTTAAAGTGAAAAATTAAACGGCATTTACTAGATTCATAGTGTTTTGGAACGTCTATCACTCCCAAAAGAAACTGAATACCCAATAAGCAGTTTCCAAATCCAGCCCTCTTTCCAGCCACTGGCAAATCCAATATGCTTTATGTATATGGATTTACTTATTCTAGGTATTTCACATAAATGGAGTCATAGAATAGGTGACCTTTTGTGTCCAGCTCTTCTCATTTAGAATCATGCTTTTGAGGTTCATCAATGCTGAAGCATATATCAGTATCTCATTCCATTTTTATAAAAGAATAATATTTGATTGTATTGATTTATCATGATTTATTTATCCATGTATTCATTTATGAACATTGGAGTTGGTTCCTCTTTTTACTATTGAACATGCATGAATATAAATTTTTTTGTGCACCTCTTCAATTCTTTTAGATAAATATGTAGAAGCAGAACAAATGGGTCATGTGGTCATTTTATCTTTAACTCTCTTAGGGACCACCAAACTGTTTTCCACAATGGTTGTACAATTTTACATTTGCACCAGAAATGTGCAAGGATTTTAATTTCTTTAGATCATTGCTAACACTTTTTACCTTCTATTTTTTAGTATAATTATCCTAGTAAGTGTGAAATGGTATCTCACTGTGATTTGCATTTGCATTTCTCAAATTAATGATGTTATATTTTCATAGGTTTGGCAGCCCTTTATATTGCTTCTTTGGAGAAATGTCTATTCAAATCCTTTACCACTTAAAAGTTGGGTTATTTGTCTTTATGTGAATAAGTTGAAAGCATTCTTTATTTATTATGAATACTAGACACTTACGAGATATAAGAATTGCAAATATTTTCTCCCAATCTGTAGTTTGTCATTTTACTTTTTAAAAATAATCTCAACTTTTATTTTAGATACAGGGGGTGTATGTGCAGGTTTGTTATATGGGCATATTGTGTGATACTGAAGGGGTACAGATCATGTCACCCAGGTAGTGAGGATAGTACCCAACAGGCAGCTTTCAAACCACACTCCACTCTCTCCTGCTTGCCTCTAGTAGCCTGCAGTGCCTATTGTTCCCATATTTATGACCATGTGTGCTCAATGCTTAGCTCCCACTTATAAGAACATTCTCTATTTTGTTTTCTCCACCTCCATTAATTCACGTAGAATAATGGCGTCCAACTGCATCCATGATGCTGAAAAGGATATGTTTTTATCCTTTTTATGGCTGTGTAGTATTCTATGGTGTGTGTGTAACACATTTCGTTCTCCACTCAACCATTCATTGGCACCAGGCTTGATTCCATGTTGTTGCTGTTGTGAACAGTGAAGTGATGAACATATGAGTCTATGTATCTTTTTGGTAGAATGATTTCTCTTCCTTTGGGTATATACCCAGTAATGGAACTAATTGGTTCAATATAGCTATTTTAATTTCTTTGAGAAATCTCCAAACTACTCTGCGCAGTGGCTGAACTAAATTGCATCCCACCAATGATGTATATAAACATTTTCTTTTCTCCAAACCATCACTGGCATCTGTTGTTTTTTGACATTTTAATAATAGTCATCTGAGTGGTATGAGATGGCATTTCATTGTGGTTTTGATTTGCATTTCTCTGATGACTGCTGATAATGATGAACGTTTTTTCATATGTTTGTTGGCTGCTTGTATGTCTTCTTTTGAGAAATGTTTGTTTATATTCTCTGCCCATTTTCCAATGGGGTTGTTTGTTTTTGCCTATCGATTTCTTTAAGTTCCTTATAGATTCTGAATATTAGGCCTTTGTTGCGTGCATGATTTGCAAATATGTTTTCCCTTTCTGTAGGTTTTCTGTTTTCCCTGTTGATAGTTTCTTTTGCCATGCAGAAGCTCTTTAGTTTAATTGAGTCCCAATTGTCAATTTTTGTTTTTGTTTCGATTGCTTTTGAGGTCTTAGCCAAAAATTTTTTCCCAAGGCCAATGTTAAGATGGGTATTTTCTAGGTTTTCTTCTAGGATTTTTGTAGTTTTGGTATTACATTTAAATCTTTAATCCATCTTGAGTTAAATTTTGCATATGGCAAAATATAACGGTCTAGTTTGGTTTCTCTGCATATGGCTAGCCAGTTATCCCAGGACCATTTATTGAATAGGGAGTCCTTTGCCCATTGCTTGTTTTTCTCAGCCTTGTTGAAAGTCAGATGTTTGTGGGTGTATGGCTTTATTTCTGAGTTTTCTATTCTGTTCCTTTGGTCTATGTGTCTGTTTTTGTACCAATACCATCCTGTTTTGGAGAGTGTAGTCTTACTACATAGTTTGACATTGGGCAGTGTGATGCCTCTGGCTATATACTTTTTGCTCATGATTGCTTTGGGTATTCGAGCTCTCGTTTAGTTCCATATAAGTTTTTAAATAGTGTTTTCTATTTCTGTGAAAAATGCCATTGGTTGTTTGATAGGAATAGCATTGAATCTGTAACTTGCTTTTGGACATATGAAATTAATTATAATGATATTGTTCAATTCATGAGGATAAATTGTTTTTCCATTTGTGTCATCTCTGACTTCTCTCAGCAGTGTTTTGTAGTTCTGCTGCTAGAGATATTTCACCTCTTTGGTTAGCTGTATTCTTACATATTTTACTTTCTTTGTGGCTATTTCTAGTTCTAAAGGGGAATGGTTCCAGCCTTTGCCCATTCAATTTGATGTTGGATGTGGGTTTTTCATACATGGTCCTTATTATTTTGAGATATGTTCGTTTGACACCTAGTCTGTTGAGGGTTTTTGTCATGAAGGAATAATAGATTTATAGAAAGATTTTTCTACTTCTATTGAGATGATTATATGTTTTTTGTCTTTTATTCTGATTTTGTGTAGAATCACATTTATTGCCTTGTGTATGTTAAACCAGCTTTATATCCCTGGAATAAAGCCTACCTCATCATGGTATATTAACTTTTTTATTTGCTGCTGGATTCAGTTTGTTAATATTTTGTTGAGGATATTTGTGTCTATGTTGATCTGGGATATTGGTCTATAGTTTGTTTTTGTTTATTGTGTCTCTGACAGATTTTGGTATGAGGATAACGCTGGTTTTATAGTGAGTTAGTGGGGAGATCTCCTCCTTAACTTTTTGAAATAGTGTTAATGAGATTGGTATCAGTCTTTTTTGTATGCCTGGTAGAATTTGGCTATAAATGTATATATACCAGGACTCTTTTTGGTTGGTAGTTATTTAATGTTGATTTAATTTTACAAGTTTGTATTAGTCTGTTCAGGGTTTCAATATCTTTCTTGAGATTCAATCTTGGGAGATTGTGTGCTTCCAGGAATTTATTCATTTACTGATAAATTTTCTAATTTCTTTGTTTAATATTGTTCATAGTAGTTACTGAGAATCTTCTGTATTTCTGCAGGATTAGTAGTAATATCACGTTTGCTGTTTCTGATTGTGATTATTTGGATCTTTCTTTTTCTTCCAAAAAAACAAATCTCAGTTTCATTAATCTTTTATTGGATTTTTGCATCTTGATTTCATTCAGTTTTTTCTAATTTCAATTATTTATTTTCTCCTGCTAGCTTTTTAAAAATGTTTTATTTTATTTTATTTTATTTTATTTTTTCTGGTTCCTTTATGTGCAAGGCTAAATTGTTCATTTGAATTCAGTCTAAGTCACTTTTTAAGTATTTAGTTTCTGTGGGTACATAGCAGGTGTGCATATTTCTGAGGTACCTGATATATTTTGATATAGACATATGATGCATAATAATTACATCATGAAAAATAGGGACTCCATCCCCACAAGCATTTATCCTTTGTATTACAAACAATCCAATTATACTCCTCTTTTATTTTAAAGGTAGAATTAAATTAACTATTGTTACCCTGTTGTGTCATCAAATAGTTAAGTCTTAGTAATGCTTTTCAACCATATTTTTGTACCCATTAACCATCCTCTCCCTCCCATTCCTCCACTGCCCTTGCCAGCCTCTGGTAGCAATCGTTCTACTTTCTATCTTGATGAATTCAATTCTTCTCATTTTTAGCACACACAAATAAGAGAGAACATGCAATGTTTGTTCTCTGTGCATACCTTATTTACCTAAGAAAATGACCTCCAGCTCCATCAATGTTGTTGCAAAAGATAGGATCTTATTTTTTATTACTATAGTACTACATTGTGTATGTATACTACATTTTCTTTAACCCTTCATCTGTGGCTGAGCACTTAGGTTGCTTCCAAATCTGCACTATTATTCACAGTACTGCAACAAACATGGGAGTGCAGATATCTCTTTGATATACCAATTTCCCCTCTTTTGTCTGTATACCCAGCAGTGGGATTGCTGGATCATATGGTAGCTCTACTTTTTGTGTTTTGAGGAAACTCCAAACTGTTTTCCATAGTGGTTATGCTAATATACATTCCCACCAACAGTGTACAAGTGTTCCCTTTTCCCCAAATTCTTACCAGCATTTGTTATTGACTGTCTTTTGGATAAAAGTTATTTTAACTGAGGTGTGATAATATCTCATTATAGTTTTGTTTCGCATTTCTCAGATGACCAGTGATATTGAGTACGTTTTTATATGCCTGCTTTCCATTTGTCCATCATCTTTTTGGAAATGACTATTCAGATATTTTGCCCATTTTTAATTGGTTTATTATAAATTTTTTCCTACGGAGATTTTTGAGCTCCTTATATATTCCAGTTATTAATCCCTTGTCAGATGGGGAGTTTTCAAATATTTTTTCCTGTTCTGTGGGTTATCTCTTCATTTTATTGGTTGTTTCCATTGCTGTGCATAAGCTTTCTAACCTGATATAATCCCATTTACCCATTTTTGCCTTTCTTGTTTGGGAGATGGCGGGCGAGAGGAGGGATAGCATTAGGAGAAATACCTAATGTAGATGATGGGCTGATGAGTGCAGCAAACCACCATGGTACATGTATAACTATGTAAAAAAATTGCACATTCTGCACATGTACCCCAGAACTTAAAGTATAATAATAATAAAAAAAGAAAGTAGAGGGATAGGTGAAGATACAAACAGAGTAAAATATGCTGTTTATATAAAACATTTTTTCCCAGCCAGTAGCTTATCTTTTCATTTACTCAAAAATGTATTTTGGGGAAATTTTTTCGATTTTAATAAAATGTTGTTTTCTTTACAAAAAAAGAGTAGATTACAAATCACAGTTACAGTAGTATAATATTTTGTTTTTCTGCATAATTACTATTATTAGTGTGTTTTGTATCTTCAAATGACTTCTTATTGCTCATTAACATCCTGTTCTTTCTCATTAAAGTACTCCCTTTAGCATTTCCAGTAGGACAGGTCTGTTGTTGATGAAATCCCTCTTCTTTTGTTTGTCTGGAGAAGTCTTTATTTTTCCTTTATGTTTGAAGGATACTTTTACTGCATATACTATTCTAGGGTGATATTTTTTCCTCCAGACTTTAAATATATCATGCCACTCTATCCTAGCCTGTAAGATTTCCACTGAAATCTTACTGCCAGACTTATTGGAGCTCCCTTGTATGTTTCTTTTCTTTTGCTGCTTTTTGAATTCATTCTTTATCCTTGATCTTCGGGAATTTGGTTATTAAGGTCTTGATTTAGTCTTCTTTGGTTTAAATGTGCTTGGTATTCTATAACCTGTTTGTATTTGGATATTGATATCTTTTTTTTTTTTAGGTTTAGGAAGTTCTCTGTTATCCCTTTGAATAATCTTTCTACCCCTATCTCTTTCCCTCCCTCCTCTGTTGGGCCAATAATTCTTAGATGTGCCCGTTTGTGTCCTTTCCTTCAATGTGACAAGTCTTTCAGGCCCTAGGAAGACCCAGAGATGCTGTCCAGGAGCAAAGGACTCGTGTCATAAACCTTAGAGATCTGTTTGCTACTGCAGCTGAGACAGCACTTGAACAAAAAGATGCAATCCTCCCTATTCTTACTTCCATTTTCCACAGGCAGAGGAGCCTCATTCTATGATCAGCATAACCACAGGAACATGGAGTTTACTGGCAGGCCACCTCCAATGTTCACTCAAGGTTCAAGGATTCTCTGGTTAGCCTGTGATGAATGCTGCTAGGCATGAAACTCATTCTTCAGGAGAGTAGGATCCCCTCTGGCCCAGGTCCAGAAGTGCCAACTAAGAGCCAAGGCCTGAAATTTGGGACCCCAAGGGCACACTTAGTGCTCTACCCTTCATGGCTGAGGTGGTACTTAAGTTGCAAAGCAAAGTATCTTTTACTTTTCCCTGTGCTTTTTTCAAGCTGAATAAATCTCTCACTATAGCCACTGCAGCTTGGATACAGTGTGCTGAGTCTCATCTGAAGTCAGCGCATCTCAGAGTTTCACCTAAAGCCCATGGCGTATTGTTGCTGGTTATTCAGGGCCCATGGTCTCTTTAGTCAACAGATATTGTATCCTGCCGGGAATACATCTTCTTTTCAAGGCAGTCAGTTCCCTTCTGGTCCAGGGTGTGCCTAGAAATGTTGTCTAGGTACTAGAGCCTGAAATGGGGGTCTCATGATTCTGCCTGGTGCCCTATCCTGGTAGGTGCCCTATCCTTGGGTACCAGAGTTGATATCCAAGATGCAAGGCAAGGTTGTCTTTATTCTTCCTTCTCCTCTCCTCAAGCCAAAGGCAGAGGTCTCTTCTGGACTTGTGAACTGTGCTGCCTGGGGTTGGGTGATGGGTAGTGCACAAACTCCCATAGTCACCCCAGCTGTTGTCTCAAGGAATGACCCCAGACCAACTGGCTCCAAGGCCAGCTCAGTACTAGAACTTGCCTAGGAGTTGCAGTCCTCATGGCCTAGACTGCCTTTTGAATTTAATTAGAGCCCCAAAGTGCATTAGCCTTGGTGGTGAAGCTTGCCAAGACTCATGTTCAGACCACAGGGATGGGCAATCCTTCTCTGGCTGGGGCTCAGCTGAGTTAAGCCCACTTTTGTTTTCTGCTGTGACTGAGAAGTGCTGATTTCAATGCATGATCTCACAATTGCTGTGCTCTCCGTCTCCCAAGTTCATAGATTCTTTCTCTGCACCATGCAGCTGCTGTAGGGGGATGTGAGATGGGTGTTGTCAGCAATACTAGAGTGTGTTTCCTACCTGTTTCAGTGCCTCTTTCAAGGATATGAATTAAAAATTAGGTACTGTGAGTTTTCAATTGATTTTTGGTGTGCATGAAGGTGATTTTGTTGTTTAGATGGTTGTTAAATTTGGTGTTTCTGTGGGAGAAACAATTGTGAAGCCTTGCGTTTTGTCATCTCACTCCACCCTTTTTTAAAAAAAAAGAAAAACAAATTATTCTCAAATTTAGTCAAGTGTCAATCATAGATGTCTTGTCAAATAAAAACTAAGACAAAAACTAATCTGAATTGAGGGTCATGTGTTTTTTCTTTCTAGTCCAATAACTCATGTAGTTTTAGTGCTTCAAATTTATCTACATAAATTTTGCATGTGTAAAATTCAATCATTAAAAAAATTCAGGATGAAAATTGCAGCATTCATAATATCAATTTCTAAATAAAATAATTGTCTTTGGCTTATTCTGGTGATAGCCATCTAAAATTGCAATGCCATTAGGCATTACTTTGAAATAATTATATATATGACATACTAATATAAAGCACATGTATGGCTGGTTAGATAATACTATTTACTATTTTCCAATTTGTATAAAATAAACAACACTTGTTAAAATTATAATATTCAATCTAAAAGTTAGATTTTAGGAATTCTATTCATGTTTTATAAATAAAACCACAGAGAGTTAAACAGTAATTGTATGCAAAAATATTCATATCAACCAAACATTAATACAAAATACTTTTTGCCATTTGAGTTTAATTTTTGTATATAAAAAATACTTATGTTAACAATAATGGAAAGTATTTAACAATCTAAAACTTTATGTCATGTTAGTCCTGGGCAGTAAACTGACATCATTTTAACAAGCAGTCTACTAAGTAGGGATAGAGATTACCAGTCACACTGGTTTCCCCAGGAGACCGTACCTAGCACTGAGGAAGTGTGGGTATTTTCTTCTGCAATGTAACAACTTTGCTTTTTGTTTTGCCATCTACTCAAGAGATATAAATTTACATAATTGGAATAAATAATTTTAATAATTATTATGACAGAAATGGTATTACAAGGCTTTCAAGGAGTTCTAATGTTGGCGGCACAAGTTAAGGAAAATCAGCTGATGTTATATAGTTTTCAACTGTTTAATGAACCTGACAAAACATTAAATGAAACTATGAAAGGTACATAGTTTAGCCTCAATTATTTTTTCTATACATAAGCACATAAATCTATCAATAAAAAACTTGCCTAATACAGTTTCTTTGTCATTTCTATACCAAAACTTTTATAATATATAAAGTTTTTACCTGAAAATACATTGTTGCAGAAAGAGAAGCATATAAGAAGACACCGATTTTGTCTGAAAATCAAGGAATAATAGAGATAGAGATTATGGCATTATGTTTCTCCATATGTTCTATCAATGGCATCCAAAGAAAGAAAAAATTCAAGAATCAAAGCATGGTCTACACTAGTTTTGAATGCTGCTGAGAACCAAGCAATCTGTATTGCCTTTAGTAAATTCTAGGCCGTTGAGGATTCTGTCAAAAATTATGATATGTAAAATATGTAGAGATTAAGAAACTAGAAGCAGTAACAAACACTTTTTTTTGAAATATTATGTTCCATGTGTGTTTCTAGTTCCATGTTTGTTTAATCAAAAACAAAATCTTTTTGTTTCATATTATTACTGTCTTTATGACATGTTTTTTTCTCTGAACCTAACTTGTCATACAATTGTTTGAATTCTGGTTTATTAATCATGCTTAGTATTTGCCAAAAAATAATATATTATATATAATATATTATATTATATATATTATAATATAATATATTATATTATATATATTATAATATAATATATTATATTATATATATTATAATATAATATATTATATTATATATATTATATATAATATATTATATTATATATATTATATATATGGGGGATATATATAATATTATATATAGTATATAAATATGTGGGATATATATATATAATATATATATGTGGGATGTCATTATCTAGCACCTACAATCCATTTTGCTGCTGTCAGATTCTCTCTTCTGGCATATGCTTGTGGTTGTATGTTGATGCTCATAACATTTAGCTTAATTTCTATCAGGCCTCTGATGTGAAAGGTTTAGCAAGACTTAGATGGGACCAGTTGGGTTCTGTAGATGTGTATCTGTGGTCTTTCTAAGACACTGTTGCAAAACTAATTATTTTCTTTTTTTTTTCTTTTTCTTTTTTCTTTTTTAGCAGAATGTGGTCTCACTATGTTGCCCAGGCTGGTCTTGAACTCCGGAGCTCAAGTGACTCTCCTACTTCTGCATCCCAAAGTGCTAGGATTAAGGCATGAGCCACCACGTTCAGCCCAAAACTAATTATTTTCAAAAAATATACCAAAATTGTTCGTGTTCTTATAATTGAACCAGTTTAAGATTTTTATGAGAGGTGGTTTCCTCTGAGGATAAAGAGAGGTTCTGGTCAGACAAAAGAGACAAAGATTCCCGCTGCCACTGAAAATAATCTCATGCAGGAGATGGGTCATCCATTTTCTGATTTCAATGCAGTGTAGACAGTATCTACTGGTGACAAACAGAATAGAGTTAAATCAAAATGCTTTTTTAAGAAACCTTTTTTTTTGGTTGTTGTTGACACCTTTATTATTTCTGATTCAAAGAATAAAGTGACTCACCCAGGATTATGGTTTTAAATTCAACCCATATTTACTGGTAGTAGATTGTCAGACATTAGCTTCTTACACTCTCCTCTTTTCAGAGATGTTATCAGCTTTTGGGGATATTAAACCTTTAATGCTTAAGGTTAAAAGCGTCCCTTGTATGTCTGTTAAGATGAGCCATAGACGTCAATTATTTTGAGATGGTAAGAGCAATGTATTTGGGGCTTAGAAATACTATTCAAAGAAAATGTATGAATAAAATAATTTTGTCACTGTAAATATTTTATTTATATAAGTTAAACATCGATATAGCAGACCTATATACAACAAATTACTTTCTATTTGTACAATTAAGTCAATTCAGCCATACTGAAGGAACCAATATTGCCTGATGAACATATGTATTCCAAATCTATCAGCCACCAGAGTGACATCAGCAAACATGGTGAAGTAGGCAGCTCCTATGGCCCATCAGTTCAAATAGACATCAACAAATCTTGCAAACAGTGCCAGAATCAGCTTTGCCAGAACTCTGGAAAACAGCCAAGAGTTTATATTAATCAAAAGAACACTGAACCAAGGAAAAGGGCCTTTAAAATAGTAAAAACAAGTTTTGAGACATTTTTATTTACACTGGCTCTACCTTCCTCCTCTGCTTGGCAGTGTGTTGATGGGAGCAGCCTGCATTCCTAGTTTGGGATGCTAGTCCCTGGATCTGGAAGGAGCAGAGGATACCTTATTTGCAAACAGTATTGTTTGTTTTAACCTGTCTAGGACTACTTGGAGAATTGAAGTAAGGTGCTTGCCATTGTTTCACCTAATTTGGAATTCACTCATGGTAGAAAAGTAGAGGCTTTACTCAAAAATATTATGAGGCAAAAAGCAAAACAAAACAAAACAAAATCCACAGCTGCAGAAGATTACTGTTCGAGTAGACAATAGAGGACTGAAAGTCTAGTGGTAAAAGCCATGCAGAGTTTTTGTTGTTGTTGTTGTTGTTTTTTCTTTTTTCAAAATTAGGGCACTCAAAAGTGATCAGATTCTTTACTGTTGTAGTTTTTTTCCCATCCCATCACCTCAAACATTTGTATTAATATTTCTTTGTGTTGTCAACATTCAAAATTATCTCTTCCAGCTTTTCGAAAACATGTAATAAGTTATAGTTAATCATATTCATCATATAGTGCTACAGAATATGAGAACTCACTCCCCCTGTCTAGCTGTAATTTTGTATTCATTAACCAATCTCTCCCAATTGTCTCATCCCAACTTCATTTCCAACCTCTAAATACCTACTACTCTACTTTCTACTTCACAGGAGATCAAAATTCATTTACCGCTCACATATGAGTAATAGCATGTGGTACTTACCTTTCTGTGCCTGACTTATTTAACATCATGTCTCCCAGGCTTATCTATTTTGCTACAAATTACAAGATTTCACTTTTTCATGACTTAAGAGTATTCAATTCTGTGTATATAACACATTTTTAACTATTTATTTGTTGATGGACATTTAGGTTGATTCCATTTCATGCTATTGTAAATAATGCTGCAATAAATGTGGGGGTGCAGGCATGCCTTTGACATACTGATTTCCTTTCCCTTGGATAACTATCTAGTAGTGAAGTTGGTAGATCATATGGTAGTTCTTTTGGGTTTTTTTGAGAAACTGTTTTCTATAATGGCTATATTAATTTGCATTCCCACCAACAATGTATAAGGGTTCCTTTTTCTTCACATCCTCACCAGCATATGTTATCTTATTGTCTAACAGTGGTGAGATAACAGACCTATTAGAACCAGGGAATAATAAACTAAATAATAAGATATGTATATGTTATTCTGGTACAAACCTAATACAATACAAATCAGTTTTAAAATCTTAAGGGGCAAAGGACAAAATTTTGGCTTACTCTTTTCATGACCTAAGTGGCTAATCTCTCTTTCTTTTATTCACTTCAACCTGAACTGCCAAGCAAGAGTATAGAGTACAGTATACATCCCCCAGCAACTCAATGGCAAGGACTAGAGAGTGACCCACTTTTATAAACAAGAACAGGCAAAAGAGAGTGATTTACTATTGTATTAAAGAGGTATTGAAGGAGTATAGGCATGGTAAGTATTAATGTCGTGATCCCAGCTCTTAACAAAAACAGATTTTTATATAGATCCTGTCAACTTTCCTGTGGATATGAATACAGCATTCCATGTACTCAAGTTTCACAATGTTGTTAAATTTATGCTCAAGATTAACTATTCATAGGATTTTTTGAACACAGCAAACTCCAAATATTACCTTGAAAACTGCTCTGACCTGGCTCAAAAAAAAGGTTGGGGGAGGATTCTGGTAATCTAGGAAATACAGGAAGTCATGCATATGCCCAGGCCATGATGTATGCATGGAGATACATCATGATAAGACTCTAATATGACTCTGAACTTTCACCACCAGCTGAAATGGCCTGGCTAGATGTTAAAGGAGTACCTCAGTACACAGCCAATCTGCAAAGATGGGGCAAAGGTTGTGTTTATTTATTCTTATTCTTGCTCTTTCTCTTCTCTGTTTTTCTTTCTTTCCCTTCTTTCTTTTGGCTCCTGATGTTCAAAGATATTTCTTTTAAAACACTACCAAAACACAAGCTAAAGAAAAACAGTTCAGAAACTACACATGACAAAGAATAATGACTTTACAAAATAGTTTAGAAAGGTACTTAACAAACAAACAGATATGACTCACATTAAGCAGTAAAAACACAGCATGAGGAGGGAGGAAATCTAATATCTAAGTTAAATACATTATAATATTCAAAATGTCCAATTCTAACAAAAATTAATGGAGTATGAAAAATGTCAATACAGAAACAGAAATAAAATGGAGCAAAACAGAATCCTAAAGCTAAAAATTACAGTAACTGAAATAAAAATATTAGTAGAAGGTTACAATAACAGATGTGATCAGGCAGAAGAAAAGGTCAGCAAACCTGATGAGAAGTTCACTGAAATTATCTAGTCTGAGAAGCAGAAGGAAAAAGATTGAAGAAAAATGAACAAAGTGGAAGAGGCCTGTGCTACCCTGTCAAGCATACCAGCATATACTTAAGAGGAGTTCCAGAAAAGGAGAGTGGAGAGAATGGAGCAGAAAAAAAATAGCTGTGCTTTGATATAGCAGAAGTAAACAATTCAGACAGAAAATTAAGAAAAAAATTCCATTTACAATAGCTTTCAAAAGAATAGAATACCTAGTAATAAATTTAACCAAAGAGGTAAAAGACTTATACACTAAAAATTTCAAAATATTGTTGAAAGAAATTAAAGAGCACCTAAATGAGTGAAAAAAAAAATTTCACCTTCATGGATTGGAGACTTTAATATCATCACAATTGCAATGCTACCCAAAGTTATGTACAGTTCAAGACAATATTATAATTTCTATCAAATCCCTATAAAAATTTGTAGAAATGAAAAAGCTGATCCTCAAACGAATATAGAATCACAAGGGATTCCAAGCATCCAAAACAATACTGAGAAAAAAAGAATAAAATTGGAAGACTCATATTTAACAAATGTAAAACTTACTACAAAGCTACAATAAACAAAGCAATGAGGTATTGGTATAAGGATAGGAATATATACAGCAATAAAATTAAATAAAGAGCTTGGAAATAAATCCATACATACAGAGTTAATGATTTTCAACAAAGGTATCAAGATCAATTGATAGGAAAAGAATAGTCTGTTCAACAGAAGTTGCTTGGAAAACTGAATATTCACATGCAAAATACTTAAGTTGGAAACCTATTTCACAACATAAATAAAAGTTAACTCAAAATGGATCAATAACATAAACAAAAGAACTAAAACATAATATCTTTAGAAAAAAACATAGGGGTAAATCTTCATGACCTTGGATTTAATAATGGATTCTTAGACATAATATCAAAAGCACAAGGAACTAAAGCAAAAAAGAGATATTTGACTTCAATGAAACTTTCAAAATGTGTACATCAAAGATATTATCATGAAAGTAAGAAGAGAGGAAAAGATGGTGACGAGATGCATTCAGGAAGGGCTGCTCACACTGAAAGAGACCGGGATTTTGATTAAACCAACATTATTTGAACAGCTCTTTAGAAATAAAAGCTCAAATACGAATGGATAAAAGATGCAGATGCTGAGGCTGAAGAGGGAAGAAGCTGGGAATCACACATGGGGTGCCTGAACTCTAGGGCTGGCTCCTAGCTCTGAATTGCTCTTCAGGAAGAAGGTGAGTGAACAGGCTGGGGCCCTGCCAACTCCTGCCATGGACTTCTGGGATGCTGGCTGCAGGAGACCCCACAACTCCCATAGACACTTGAATTGGCAGGGGGATCTCCTTGGAGATTAGACCGATATGAAGCTTCAGTAGGCATGGCACTGGGGAACTTTGTTCATACATGACAGCTCCAGCAGAGCCAGCCTTAGGTGTCCATCCCCCAGCGCTCCTGTTGCCCTTTGAGAGGCTGTTGTTCAACATGGTACTGGAAGTGGTAGCTAGAGCAATTAGACAAGAGAAAGAAGTAAAGGGCATTAAATTGGGAGGGTACCAAAGTATCCTTGTTTCAGATGATACGATCATATATTGAAAAATACCTAAAGACTCCACTAAAAAACTATTATTATTGATAAATTCTGTCAAGTTGCAGGATATAAAATTAACATACAAAAATCAGTAGAATGTCTATATTTGAATTTCAAACATTCTAAAAAATCCATCAATAAAATAATTTTGTTAATAATAGTTACAAATAAAGTTAAATACCTAGGAATTAACCAAAGAAGTTAAAGACCTCTACAATGAAAACTACAAAACTTTGATGCAGTTAATTGAAAAGAACAAACAAAACAAATTGAAAAATATTTCATGTTCATGGTTTGGAAGAATTAATATTCTTTAAAATGTCCATGCTAACAAAACAATATACAGATTCGACGCAAGCCCTTTCAAAATACCAATAGCATTCTTCACAGAAATAGAAAACACAATCCTGAAATTTATATGGAATCACAAAAGTGCAGGAATAGCCAAAGCTATCCTGAGAATAAAGAACAAAACTGGAGAAATCACGTTTCCTGACTTCAAGATATACTACACAGCTATAGTAATCAAAACAGCGTGCTACTGGTGTAATAACAGACACATGACCAGTTGAACAGAATGAAGAAACCAGAAATAAATCCATATATCTACAGTGAATTCATTTTTAGCAAAGGTGCCAAGAACATACATTGAGGAAAAGACAGTCTCTTCAATAAATGGTTCTGGGAAAACTGGATAACCATATGCAGAAAAATGAAATTAGAACCCTATTTCTTAGCATATATAACAATCAAATCAAAATATGAAACTACTTAAAGTAAATATTAGAGAAACTCTTCATGACATTAAAGTAGACAAAGATTTTTTTTAGTTATATCCCTCAAGCTCAGGCAACCAAAGCAAAGACAAACAAATGGAATCAAATCAAGTTAAAAACCTGCAAAGGATTTAGGCTGATTCCATGTCTTTGCTATTGTGAATAGTGCTGCAATGAACATATGTGTGCATGTGTCTTTATAATTGAGTGATTTCTATTCCTTTGGGTATGTCAACCTAAAAGCTCATCAATGATAGACTGGATTAAAAAATGTGGTGTATATATATATATATATATATATATATACACACACACACACACACACACACACACACACACACACACACATCATAGAATACTATGCAGCCATGAAAAAAGAATAATGTCATGTCCTTTGCAGGGACATGGATAAAGCTTCAGGCCATTATCCTTAGCAAACTAACACAGGAACAGAAAAACAAAAACCACATGTTCTCACTTATAAGTGGGAGCTAAATAATGAGAACACATGAACCATGGACACACAGAGGAAACAACACATACTGGGGATTTTTGGAGAGTGGAGGGTGAGAGGAGATAGAGGATCAGGGAAATAACTAATGGGTACTAGGCTTAATACCTGGGTGAGGAAATAATCTGTAAAACAAACCTCCATGGCACAAGTTTACCTATGTAACAAACCTGTACTTGTACCCCTGAATTTAAAAGTTAAAAAAAACCCTTCTGCACAACAAAGTAAACAATCAGCAAAGTAAAGAGACAACACACAGAATGGGAAAAAATATCTGAAAACTACCCATCTGACAACGGATTAATAACCACAATATATAAGGAGCTCAAGTATCTCTGTAGGAGAAAATTTAATAATCTTATTTAAAAATGGACAAAAGACATAAATAGACACTTCTCCAAAGAAGACATACAAATGTCAAACAGGCATAAGAAAAGGTGCTCAACATTATTGATCATTAAAGAAATGCAAATCAAAATTGAAATGAGATATCTTACCCCACTTAAAATGGCTTTTATCCAAAAGACAGACAAATGCTGAAGAGAATGTGGAGAAAAGGTAACATTTGTACACTATTGTTGGGAGTGTGTATTAGTACAACCACTATGGAGAACAGTATGGAGGTTCCTTAAATAATAAAAATAGAGCTACCATATAAACTGGCAATCCTAATACTGGATATATACCCACAAGAAGGGAAATCAGTATATCAAAGAGATATCTCCACTCCCATGTTTACTACAGCACAATTCAGAATAGCCAATATTTGGAAGCAACCTAAGTGTCTATCAGAGGATGAATGGATAAAGTAATTGTGGTACAGAAATACAATGAAGTACTATTCAGCCATATAAAATGAGATCCAGTCACTTGCAACAATATGGATGAAACTGTAGATAATTAAGTAAAATAACCCAGGCACAGAAAGCAAACTTTGCATGTTCTCACTTATTTGTGGGATCTAAAATTAAAAGAATTGAACTCATGGAGATAGAGAGTATTAATGGAAGGATGGTTACTAAGGACTGAGAAAGGTAGCGGGTGGTAGCAAGGGGAAGGGGATGGTTAATGGGAAAAAAACCCCAGAAAGAATGACTAAAACCTAGTATTTGATAGCATAATAAGGTGAGTATAGTCAGAAATAATTTAATTGTACATTTTAAAAATAATTAAAATAATATAATTGGATTGTTTGCAACACAAAGGACAAATACTTGATGTTATGGATACCTTATTTACCCTGATGTGATTATTACCTCATGTACCTCATAAAACTATACACATATCATGTTCCTTTAAAATAAAAAATTTTAAAAATTTTTTAAAAAGAAAAAAGAACACAAAAGTATTAATTAGTGTATTAGGGTTGGATTAATTAGTGTGTTAGGGTTCTCCAGAAGGACAGAACTAATAGGATATATGTATATATGAAGGGAGCTTGTTAGGGAGAAATGGCTTACAGGATCACAGGGCAAAGTCCCATGACTGGCTGTCTGCAAGCTGGGGAAGAAAGAAGCCAGTAGTGGCTCAGTCCATTCCAAAAGCCTCAAAAGTAGGAAAGCCAACGGTTCAGTCTTCAGTCCATGGCCAAAGTCCTGAGAGCCCTCAGCCCAGCAAACCACTGGTGTAAGTCCAAGAGTCCAAAAGCCAAAGAACGTGGAGTCTCATTTCCAAGAGCGAGAGGAATGGAAGGAACTACCCAGCACGGGAGAAAGATGAAAGCCAGAAGACTCAGCAAGCCAGCTTATCCCAGCTCTTTACCTGGCAGCCGATTGGATACTGCCCACCCACGTTCAGAGTGGGTCTTCCTCTCCCAGTCCACTGACTCAAATGTCAGTCTCCTCAGGCAACACCTCACAGACACATCCAGAAATAATACTTTACTAGCCATCTAAGCATCCTTCAATCGAATCAAGGTGACACCTAATATTAACCATTACAATTAGAAACAAAAGGTGTCAGTTTATACATTAAAAAAATTGTACATTGGCCCTGTCCTTACTATTTTCTGAACTTTGCTCCTTCTTTCTTCCATACCTCATTTGCCATCTTTTCATCTCCTGCAGCTGGCAATAATGTCTGTTGCAAGTGTGAACAATTGAAATGTCAAATTCTCACATTATTTGACAGTGCTTATATATAATGTAATGTCTATGTAATTACACAAAAATCTTCTGGTCCTAGGGCATTGTGCTTCATGGCTTATGAACTGAGCTTAAGATCTATCACAAGATTTTATAGTTTGTCTAGAGGTTTGTTATTTTGATGAAAATTGAATCATAGTGATACTTTCCAAAAGGCCAATAAATTTAGTGTTAAATATGCCAAAAAGCAATAAAATGTAAGTTTTTAAAGAAAATAAGATTTGATATCTTGGTTCATTCATACTGCTTACGGAAAGTTTTCCTAGGTAAGGATCAGCCATTATTATTCTGTGGCAAAATGTTAGTTCTTTTATAATCATAGCTCATTAATAAGATTAATAGTCATGCATTCTAATGTCATATATTCAAATATTTTAAAACACATTAATTCTAAACACAAAAGCAAATAATGCAGTGAAATGAAAGAAAATGTTTAAGGTAATTCAATTCAATACATTTAAAGAGTAGCCTTAGGAATTCAATATGAAAAATGTTTAAACTTTTACTATTATTGAATGTCAGTTATTATCACACTTGGTGAGTTTCATTTAATAGGAAGACTTCTCCAGTGTTTCTTCTTCAGACATAAATAAAAATAGAAAGCAACACTTTACTCTGAGAAGGCAGATTCTTTCTCTGATCAGTTTTCTATTGAGAAATACATATTAACAAGAATACCTCAACTATGTATTTTAAAAATTTCTGTGATAGTATTTAAGGAATGTTTGTCAATGTGTCTGTTAATAAGCACTTTTTAATTTATACATTGTGAATTTTGTGCTTGAAAAAGTTTAAACCTTATGAAAATAGATACTGCTTGCAGTAATGTTTGGCAATGATGAAGGATGGATTTAAGTGCCTACCCAAATGCAAAGCATAGCACGAAATAATCTAATTTTTACTTTATATTTAACCAATGAGTTTTCAGAGTTGTAATTAATATTTTTTTCCAAATTACAACAACATTAGTTCGCATTTTGTTCTAAAACAACAAATAAATAGGTGATATAAATATATCAAATCAAAGTAAACGAGAGTATAATATGCTTACAGAGAGCCTCAAAAAGAAAGGGTTGTTGAAGTCTGTCAAAAGAAACATCAACGTTTTTGAGATTGTCTTTATTTTGTCTTTATAAATGATAATAATTGCAAACAAGACAAGGCTAAAGATAGAATCAGGGTAGTTCTGTGAAAATAGATTCTTAATGGAGGAATAAATATGAGTTTTAAATACTACTCGGTACCCTCATCCTATTCCCGGCATCTCCCTATTTCTAGCTAATTTGGCTCTTCCAGTTAGTAGACAATGACTACAATGTCATCAGATCATCATTTCATTCCAGACCAAAGGAAAACAAGCATTTGGTTTGTTGGGCCGGACTCTCCTGGAAGGTAGACTATCATGCATGTGTATGCTAACCACATATTATCTTCCTCTTAATGCAATATGCCCCCAAGCAAGCTGTAGGCATTACTGATATAAGAATAAAATTAAATTAAAGGAAGATTGGAGGCTGAAGAAATGGCTAAGAGTAATAACACCAGAATGAAATTGTCATTAGCAATCTTCAGCCACAAAGAAGTAGAAACACATAAGAAAAATAGGGGCATGCTGGGATGTGTTGGATTGTGTTAAAAAGGGCAGTGTGTTAGAAAGGGGAAGATTCTGGCAACAAAGAGGTTTCAAAATAAATCAAAGATTTAGGTTAAGGTTAGAGGTAAATAAAGTCAAGAGCTAGTTTCCACCTTGTAAACAATAGGGTTGGCTGTATACAAATATCAAGTTTAAATGTAGTGGAAATAAGAGAAAGAAACCCATAAGAAATGGTTCATACATAGGCTGAATTTTAAAATTTTGGAGATGGAAGGAACATAAGTTTAAGGCATGGGAAGATTAGCTGAAATGGAAATGAAATGAGATCTTTTAAGTTTTAAAAAATGTTTAGTTTAGTGTTAAAACTTATTCTAAATGTTAGACATATTTATAAGAAGTTATTGTCCACTGAAGTTCAGAGTATGACATTTTATTAGTAAAGTAATTTTAAATTCTTGAGCAGAAGTTAACATGTGGATTTTTGTCTGGTAGAGATTCAAATAACAGTGAAAGCCAGATATTGTGGTTTCTTGCACTTTTGCACATTCACTAGTTTTGTATCCAACCAGTAATCTCCTAAAATATATTGGTTAAATTGCCTATATATCCTAAGCTTTTCAAATGCTTTTTAAGTTGTAACAACTATTAATTTATTCATTATTAATGACTTAAGTAAATTATCTGACACATGTTCATTTTAGATTTGACTGCAACAATTTAACCAAATCAATTCAGTCTCTATCAAGCTTTACACTTGAAGAATCACAGGAACAGAATAATGGTCTTCACTCTCCTGTAGGAAAGATTAGACATGATCTGTGAGTCTTTATGCAGTATGCAAATTCTAATGATTGGAATGTATGGAAACACATATAATCTGAATTTTTAAAAGTATATTTTTTCTCACAATCAGCACAATCCATGTGTGACTTTAAAGTTGTCTCAGGTAGAATGAGTCTTATTTCACTGACTATTCACATATCAGTTATTTCACTCAATATTCATGTATCAGTGTTGTAATAAAACATTAGGTTTAAAGGAGGCCTTTTAGTAATCAAGGAATATATTTATTATATGGTAATTAATATTTTTTATAGTTCTGAATTACTATGTTACTTGAGTATGCCAACTAATTTGCTTTAAGAAACATTTTATATATTAATACACAGTAAATCATGGATTTTATTACTATCAATATAGTTAAAATGTTGTTGAAAAACAGATTGAGGCTTATTTCTCAAGCCTGATACCTAAATTGTCTCAGCCTGCATCAGTCGCTGATCTACTATTTCTTATTTTCAGGTTTTTTATTTTATAACTAGGCTATGAGTGTCTCTTCTTAACAAGATTGTTTTAAAATAAATTTGGTCAATATATGTAAAGACTTTAATATCATATCTAGCACAAAATAAAACTTTAAAAACTGTTACCAACAACTATTACTTCAATTATTATTAATAAAATGTATTCCAAGGTGACATAGTAGCACTATCAAGATTATGTGTGCATTAGCTATCGACATGAAATATTGGAAGACTCATGTACAAAACTTTCAAATACATGCAGATGCCTAAACATCAATAAAAATTAGAAAAACATTTTCTTATCAGTTTTTCTCCAAAATCAAACTTTTTTTGAAACTCTTTCCAGAAAAACATTCTTTAGGTTTTAAGAAACATAGTTTTTACAAAAAGATATGCATATTGTTTGTAAATATTGTCTCAGTTTAATGTGTGGCTATAGCAAAATACTTTGAGTAATTTATATAAAACAGAAATTAGTTTTTATAGTTCTGGAGGCTGAGAGATCCAAGATCAAGACACCAGTAGTGTCTGGTGAGGACTTTCTTACTGCATCATTACATGGCAGAATGTATGAAAACTATGTCTTCACATGGTGGAAGGTGGAAGGACAAAAATGGGCTGACTAGTTTCCTCCAGCCCTTTTTTAAGGTGACTGATATCATTGATGAAGACTCTTCCCTCATGACCTAATCACCTCCTAATGTCTCTCCCTCTTAATGCTATTACATTGGGGTTTAACTTCCAACATGAATTTTTCAGGGGACACAAACCATTCAAGCTGCTGCAAATATTAAATAATTTTATTTAATACACAATTAAGATTTTATTGTGTCTGTTGGTTCAGATAATACAAAACACTAAATACTAAAACTAAGTACTAGCATATGTCTTAAATCATATGCCCTTAAAATGTAGAGATATTACTTACTAAATTGTCTTCGGATATAGTCTAATACTTTGTTAAAGTACTTTTCAGTGTTAAAATAGCTCATTAATCATATTACTCTTTAAAATGCTATAAAACTGAAACTATTAGTGATTAATTCAAGAGAAATCAACATAATACTTTGTTACTCTCAAGGTACTTCAAAAAGAAATGCTATTTTATCTTATATAACGAATGATGTCCATTTTACCATTCATTTTAGTTTATAGCTATATTCTTTTCCAAGGAATCCAAACAGTGTTAACATAAGATACTGCACTTTGAGTCTTATTGTTTTTGCTTAATGGTAAGCAATAATTTTTAAGAAATTAAATAGAAAAAGAAATCTCACTTTTCTGCATATGGCTAGCCAGTTTTCCCAATGCCATTTAGTAAATAGGGAATCCTTTCTCCATTGTTTGTTTTTGTCAGATTTGTCAAAGATCAGATGGTTGTAGATGTGTGGGATTATTTCTGAGGTCTGTTCTGTTCCATTGGTCTATATATCTATTTTGGTAGCAGTATCACGCTGTTTTGGTTACTGTAGCCTTATAGTATAGCTTAAAGTCAGATAGCATGGTGACACCAGCTTTGTTCTTTTTGCTTATGATTGTCTAGGCAATGTGGGCTCTCTTTTGGTTCCATATGACATTTAAAGTAGGTTTTTTCTAATTGTGTGAAGAAAGTCAATGGTAGCTTGAAGGGGATAGCATTGAATCTATCAATTACTTTGGGCAGTATGACCATTTTCACAATATTGATTCTTATTATCCATGAGCTTGGAATGTTTTTCCATTTGTTTGTGTCCTCTCTTATTTCCTTGAGCAGTGGCTTGTAGTTCTATTGAAGATGTCCTTCACATCCCTTGTAAGTTGTATTCTTAGGTATTTTCTTCTCTTTGTAGCATTTGTGAATGGGAGTTCACTCATGATTTAGCTGTTTGTCTATTATTGGTGTATAGGAATGTTTGTGATTTATGCACACCGATTTTGTATCCTGAGACTTTGCTAAAGTTGTTTATCAGCTTAAGGACATTTTGGGCTGAGATGATGGGGTTTTCTAAATATACAGTCATGTCATCTGCAAACAGAGACAATTTGATTTCCTCTCTTCCTATCTGAATACCTTTATTTCTTTCTCTTACCTGATTGCCCTGGCCAGAACTTCCAATTCTATGTTGAATAGGAGTGGTGAGGGAGGGCATTCTTGTCTTGTGCTGGTTTTCAAAGGGAATGCTTCCAGCTTTTACCCATTCAGTATGATATTGGCTGTGGGTTTGTCTTAAATAGCTCTTACTACTTTGAGGTAAGTTTCATCAGTACCTTGTTTATGGAGAGTTTTTAGCATGAACAGGTGTTGAATTTTATGAAAGGCCTTTTTTGCATCTATTGAGATAATCATGTAGTTTTTATCATTGATTCAGTTTTTGTGATGGATTACGTTTATTGATTTGTGTTTGTGGAACCAGACTTGCATCCCAGGGATGAAGCTGACTTGATCGTGGAAGATAAGATTTTTGATGTGCTGCTGGACTCAGCTTGCCAGTATTTTATTGAGGATTGTCGCATCAATGTTCATCAGAGGTGTTGGCCTGAAATTTTCTATTTTTGTGGTGTCTCTGTCAGGTTTTGGTATCAGGATCATGCTAGACTCCTAAAATGAGTTAGGGAGGAGTCCCTCTTTTTCTATTGTTTGGAATAGTCTCAGAAGGCAGGTTACCACCTCCTTTTGGTGCCTCTGGTATAATTCAGCTCTGTATCTCTCTGGCCCTGGGTTTTTTTTGGTTGGTAGGCTATTAATTACTGCTACATGAAGGGGTGGGTTGCCCCTCCACACCTGTGGGTGTTTCTCGTAAGATGGAACGAGAGACTTGGAAAAGAAAAAGACACAGAGACAAAGTATAGAGAAAGAAATAAGGGGACCCGGGGAACCAGCGTTTAGCATATGGAAGATCCCGCCAGCCTCTGAGTTCCCTTAGTATTTATTGATCATTCGTGGGTGTTTCTCCGAGAGAGGGATGTGTCAGGGTCACAAGACAATTGTGGGGAGAGGGTCAACAGACAAACACGTGAACAAAGGTCTTTGCATCATAGACAAGGTAAAGGATTAAGTGCTGTGCTTTTAGATATGCATACACGTAAACATCTCAATGCTTTACAAAGCAGTATTGTTGCCCGCATGTCCCACCTCCAGCCCTAAGGCGGTTTTTCCCTATCTCAGTAGATGGAACATACAATCGGGTTTTATACCGAGACATTCCATTGCCCAGGGACGGGCAGGAGACAGATGCCTTCCTCTTGTCTCAACTGCAAGAGGCATTCCTTCCTCTTTTACTAATCCTCCTCAGCACAGACCCTTTACGGGTGTCGGGCTAGGGGACGGTCAGGTCTTTCCCTTCCCACGAGGCCATATTTCAGACTATCACATGGGGAGAAACCTTGGACAATACCTGGCTTTCCTAGGCAGAGGTCCCTGCGGCCTTCCGCAGTGTTTGTGTCCCTGGGTACTTGAGATTAGGGAGTGGTGATGACTCTTAAGGAGCATGCTGCCTTCAAGCTTCTGTTTAACAAAGCACATCTTGCACAACCCTTAATCCATTTAACCCTGAGTTTGACACAGCACATATTTCAGAGAGCACGGGGTTGGGGGTAAGGTCACAGAATCCCAAGGCAGAAGAATTTTTCTTAGTACAGAACAAAATGGAGTCTCCCATGTCTACTTCTTTCTACACAGACACAGTAACAATCTGATCTCTCTTGCTTTTCCCCACAGCTACAATTTCAGATCTTGTTATTGGTCTATTTAGGCATTCGACTTCTTCCTGGTTTAGTCTTGGCAGAGCGTAACTGTCCAAGAATTTATCCATTTCTTCTAGATTTTCTAGTTTATTTTCATAGAGGTATTTATAGTATTCTCTCTCGGTAGTTTATATTTCTGTGAGATCAGTGGTGGTATCCCCTTTGTCACTTTTTATTGTATCTATTTGATTCTTCTCTCTTTTCTTATTATTCTGGCTAGTGGTCCATCTATTTAGTTAATCTTTTCAAAAACGCAGCTCCTGATTTCACTGATTTTTTTTTGAAGGGTTGTTCAAACAAACACTGCTTCAGCTGTGTCTCAGAGATACTGGTACGTTGTCACTCAAAACCACACAACTACATGAAAACTGAACAACCTACCCCGGAGTGGCTACTGGGTAAATAACAAAATTAAGGCAGAAATAAAGTAGTTATTTGAAACCAATGAGAGCAAAAAGACATGCACCAGAATCTCTGGGACACAGCTAAAGTAGTGTTTAGAGGGAAATTTATAGCACTAAATGCCCATAGGAGAATGAGGGAAATCTAATATCGACACCCTAACATCACAATTAAAAGAACTAGAGAAGTAAGAGCAAACAAATTCAAAAACTAGCAGCAGACAAGAAATAACTAGGATTAGAGAAGAACCGAAGGAGATAGAGACACAAAAACCCTTCAAAAAATCAAAGAATCTGGGAGCTGGTTTTTTGAAAAGATTAACAAAACAGACCCCTAGCCAGACTAATAAAGAAGAAAAAAAGAAGAATCAAATAGACAAAATAAAAAATAATAAAGGAGATATCACCACTGATTCCACAGAAATACAAACTACCATCAGAGAATACTATGAACTCCTCTAAGCAAATAAACTAGAAAATCTAGAAGAAATGAATAAATTCCTGGACACATACACCATCCCAAGACTAAACCACGAAGAAGCCGAATCCCTGAATAGACCAATAACAGGCTCTGAAATTGTGGCAGCAATTAATAGCTTACCAACCAAAAAAAGTACAGGACCAGACAGATTCACAGCCAAATTATACCAGAGTTACAAAGAAGAGCTGGTATCATGCTTTCTGAAACTATTCCAAACAATAGAAAAAGAGGGACTCCTCCCTAACTCATTTTAGGAGGCCAGCATGATCCTGATACTAAAACCTCACAGAGACACAACAAAAATAGAAAATTTCAGGCTAATATCCCCCATGAACATCAATGCGAAAATTCTTAATAAAATACTGGCAAATCGAAATCAGTGGCACATCAAAAAGCTTATCCACCACCATCAAGTCAGCTTCATTCCTGATATGCAAGTCTGGTTCAAGAAATGCAAACCAATAAACATAATCTGTCACAAAAACAGAACCAATGATAAAAATCACATGATTATTTCAATAGATGCAGAAAAGGCCTTCCATAAAATTCAACACCCCTTCATGCTAAAAACTCTCCATAAACAAGATATTGATGAAACTTATCTCAAAATAATAAGAGCTAAAAACTCTCAATAAATTAGGTATTGATGGGACGTATCTTAAAATAATAAGAGCTATTTATGACAAACCCACAGCCAATACCATAATGAATGGGCAAAAGCTGGAAGCATTCCCTTTGAAAACCAGCACAAGACAAGGATGCCCTCTCTCACCACTCCTATTCAACATAGTATTAGAAGTTCTGGCCAGGGCAATCAGGTAAGAGAAAGAAATAAAGGTATTCAGATAGGAAGAGAGGAAATCAAATTGTCTCCGTTTGCAGATGACACAATTGTATATTTAGAAAACCCCATCATCTCAGCCCAAAATGTCCTTAAGCTGATAAACAACTTCAGCAAAGTCTCAGGATACAAAATCGGTGTGCATAAATCACAAACATTCCTATACACCAATAATAGACAAACAGCTAAATCATGAGTGAACTCCCATTCACAAATGCTGCAAAGAGAAGAAAATACCTAAGAATACAACTTACAAGGGATGTGAAGGACATCTTCAATAGAACTACAAGCCACTGCTCAAGGAAATAATAGAGGACACAAACAAATGGAAAAACATTCCAAGCTCATGGATAATAAGAATCAATATTGTGAAAATGGTCATACTGCCCAAAGTAATTGATAGATTCAATGCTATCCCCTTCAAGCTACCGTTGACTTTCTTCACACAATTAGAACAAACCTACTTTAAATTTCACATGGAACCAAAAAAGCCCGCATTGCCAAGACAATCCTAAGCCAAAACAACAAAGCTGGAGGCATCATGCTACCTGACTTCAAACTATACTACAAGGCTACAGTAACCAAAACAGCATGGTACTGCTACCAAAACAGATATATAGACCAATGGAACAGAACAGAGGCCTCAGAAATAACGCCACACATCTAAAACCATCTGATCTTTGACAAACCTGACAAAAGCAAGCAATGGGGAAAGAATTCCCTATTTACTGACCTATTTACCAAATGGTGTTGGGAAAACTGGCTAGCCATATGCAGAAAGCTGAAGCTGGACACCTCCCTTACATGCTATACAAAAAATAACTCAAGATAGATTAAAGACTTAAATGTGAGATTTAAAACCATAAAAAATTCTGGAAGCCAACCTAGGCAATATCATTCAGGACATCAGCATGGGCAAAGACTTCATGATCAAAACAACCAAAGGAATCACAATAAAAGCCAAAATTGACAAATGGGATCTAATTAAACTAAAGAGCTTCTGCACAGCAAAAGAAACTATCATCAGAATGAACAGGCAACCTACAGAATAGGAGAAAATTTTTGCAATCATCCATCTGACAAAGGGCTAATATCCAGAATCTACAAAGAACCTAAACAAATTTACAAGAAGAACAAACAAACCCATCAAAAAATGGGCAAAGGATATGAACGGACACTTCTCAAAAGAAGACATTTATGTGGCCAATAAACATATAAAAAAAACTCATCAACACTAGTCATTAGACAAATGCAAATCAAAACCACAATGGGATGCCATCTCCTGGTGCAGCAAACCATCATGGCACGTGTATACCTATTTAACAAACCTGCATGTTCTGCACATGGATCCTAGAACTTAAAGTATAATTTAAAAAAGAGGAACTATATGATGAAGATACTTTATGATTGTTTTGTAGAGTTTTAAAAACTGTATGAAGAGTCATAAATGTAAATTGAATTCTACTACAAAATATCCATCAAAGAACATGGCTAGGTTTTTCTTTTTCACTCTGACTCCAGAATATTTCTGCACTTCTTAATGGACATATCTGAGAAAAAATAATTTTCTTCTTTAACTTAGGGCATGAACAACTGATAAGATATTAGCAATTATGCCTCATAACCTGTCTCCTAACTGCACTTATACTGTTTAGATATTTTTATTTTCTCTCTCCCATTGATTCTTTAGTCCATTAGTTATGTCTTTTGTTTCTCATGCCAAGGTTCTCCCGATGAATTAATAAGTCCTGTTCAGCTCAGGTATATTTTTGTTGGTTTCCATCATCATTTTTTTTTCTGTTTGTATCATCAGCTTTTAGAAAAGTGCTCATACAGCCTTCTATCTACAGACAATCATGTCATGAGAAACTATCCACATTATGTGTGTAAAGTGTACAATGCAAATACTTTAAAAGTGCTCCTAGAGCCTTCTATCTATACATGTTTAAAGCATTTTTAGAGTCAAACGATACAAAATAGGTAACCAAATTACATACCTCAGCATCAATCAAAGTCGAGAATAAATTTAGAAGTTTCAAAATGTCTCATTCAACAAAATACCTACTATTAATCTGTCAGTTCTGCTTTGTCTGTGAAAGGACACCATTCAAAAAATATTAAGTCACCATTTTTACAGTTTTTATGAAGAAATTCTGCTGAGTTCTCACCAGTCATATTTTATTTATCCCTAGCTGACTGCATCTCTTTTGGACACTGTTTCTGTCCATTACTGTGTTTCTGAAAGGAAAGGACAAAAAGTACTGTCATTCTGGTGCAAAGTAACACAAAATCTTCAATGCTGTCAACATTTAGCTGTTGCTACTGTCTCAAATTTTATCAGCATTCTGTGTGTCCTATCCAGAATATCAGCAAAGCAAACTTACTCCATTTTAATTAATAACAAAGTTAATCAGAGGAGTAAATGTCAACTAAATGTAAAAAACAAAAAAAAGTTTAAATATAAATTAAGTAAAAGTTTATGCTGTGCTTAATAATTATTTTCTATAGTTCAATACAATAGAATGTACAGATCAGCAAGTGAAGCAATTGAGTTGGTTTAAGATTTAATATATCAAAGCATTAAAAAGCTCATAGAATGTACAACATGGTTTATTTACTCATTTTGTAACAGATGATAATAATTTAGATATTCTCAAAATATTTGGTGCCTTTTTCCACAAGTGGAGGCTAAGATATTTTCATTTTATTAAAGTTAATATTAAAATTGAAATAATTTTACTTATGAATTAAATATTTATAACAGAGTTCTATCCCTCTCCTAGAGGTACTCTGATTCCTCAATCATGTCATATTTTTACAAATCTTCTTGTGTGAATTCAACCAAATGGTTAGAAAAGTATAAAAGAAGTATTTCTTTAATATGAATTCCTTCAAGAGTTTTAATTATGTGAATTTGCTTTTTCATATATCAAACTAATGGAATATAGGTAATAATATAATAAATGCTGTAATAAATCTGAATATTTATGTTTCAAATTTTTCAGCCCCAATTTTTTTATATCTGAATTACTTTTTATTCCAAGCTGACAACTTCAGCAAAGTCTCAGGATACAAAATCAACGTGGAAAAATTATTAGCATTCCTATACGCCAACAAGAGTCAATCTGAGAGTCAAATCAAGAACAAACTCCCATTCACAGTTCCTACAAAAAGAATAAAATTTTCAGGAATAAAATTTTTAGGAATAAAACACCTAGGAATGCAGCTAACTAGGAAGATGAAAGATTTCTACAAGGAGAACTACAAACCACTTCTCAAAGGAATCAGAGATGTCACAAACAAATGTAAAAACATTACATGGTCATAGGTAGGAAGAATCAATATAGTTAAAATGACCATACTTCCCAAAGTAATTTACAGCTTCAATGCTATGCCTATTAAACTATCATTGACAATCTTCATAGAACTAGAAAATAAATTTTAAAATTCATATAGAACCAAAAATGAGCCCAAATAGTCAAGTGAATCCTAAGCAAAAAGAAGAAAGCTGGAAGTTAGCTCCTGAATTCAAACTATTTTACAGGGCTACAGTAACCAAAACAGCATGGTACTGGTACAAAACAGACACATAGACCAAAGGAACAGAATACAGAACCTAGAAATGAGACTGCACACCTACTACTATCTGATCTTTGACAAACTTGACAAAAACAAGCAATCGGGGAAAAGATTTTCTATTCAATAAGCAGTGCTGGATAACTGGCTAGCCATATGTAGAAGATCAAAACTGGACCTCTTCCTTACACCATATACAAAATTTAACTCATGATGGATTAAGGACTTACATGTAAAGCCCAAAAGTACACAAATTCTGGAAGACAACCTAGGCAATAGCATTCAGGACATAGGCATTGGCAAAGATTTCATGACAAAGATGATGAAAACGATTACAACAAAAGCAAAAATTGACAAATGAGACCTAATTAAACTAAAGAGCTTCTTCACAGCAAAAGAAACTACCAACAAAGTAAAAAGACAACCTACAGATGGGAGAAAGCTTTTGCAAAACTATGCATCTGACAGAAATTTAACATCTATTATCTATAAGGAACTTAAATTTACAAAAAAAAAAAAAAAACCACCATAAAAAAAGTGAGCAAAGAACATGAAAAAACTTTTCGAAAGAAGACATCATATATGCAGCCATTAAGCATATGCAAAAATGGTGATGCAACATCACCAATCATTAGATAAATTCCAATAAAAACCATAAGGATATACCATCTTGCACCAGTGAGAATGAGTATTATTAAAAAGTCAAAAATAACAGAGGCTGGTGCCATTGTGAAGAAAAAGCAACACTTATACACTGTTGGAGGGAGTGTAAAGTAGTGCAATCATTGTGGAAGATGGGTAACGATTCCTCAAAAATCAAAAGACAGAAAGAAATACCATTTGACCCAGCAATCCCATTACTGGGTATATACCAAAAGGAATATAAACCATTGTGTTATAAACATGCACAGGTATGTTCATTGCAATACTGTTCACAATAGCAAAAACCTGCAATCAACCTAAATGTCTATCAATTATACACTAAAGGAATTGTGGTACATATACACTGTGGAGTACTATGTTGCCATAAAAAAGTATGAGATCATGTCCTCTGATGAACATGGATGGAACTGGAGGCCATTATCCTTAGCAAACTGCAACATAGGATCAGAAAACCAAATATCGCTTGTTCTCACTTATAAGTGGGAGCTAAATGATGAGAACACATGGACACATAGAGGGGAACAACACACTCTGGGGCCTATAGAAGGGTGGAGGGTGGGAGGAGGGAGAGAATCAGGAAAAATAACTAATAGATACTAGGCTTGATATCTGGGTGATGAAATAATCTGTACAACAAACCCCCATGAAACAAATTTACCTAGGTAACAAGCCTGCACCTGTACCCCTGAACTAAAAATAAAAGTAAAAAATAATATATATAAAAGGATAATAAAAATTATAAGCAGTGTTACTTAAAAATTAAGTGTATAATTGTGTTGTTAAATGTAAGTTGTAAATTCATGTAATATAAAAACAAATATTTAAAATTACAATTACAAATACAAGAAATCATTTCATACAAATAAATCAGAGGAAAGAGCTTATCTTTTTTGTTTTACCTTAAAAAATATATATATGAAAGTATATATATTAATCATGTACAACAGAAAACTAAGTGTGTTATAAACATGTTTATTATAGTCATATATGAAAATTATTTATATGCATATTTTATCTTCCAGCAATCAAATATATTTGTGATCTGGCAAGCAAGAGAAAAACCAAGGACAAACAATATGTTTTTCTGAGTGTAAAAAATTCAGATGGAAATAGGTCGAGATTCTTCTGTTTTAATGCAAGTTTTTGTGATATTGGTTTAAATAATTTTTTTCAGATTTTATTATAATGAGTATAACTCTTTAGCTTTGTGTTGAGAGATTTTTTTACCTTTATTTTATTTATTTATGTATTTTTTTACTTTAAGTTTTGGGATATACGTGCAGAATGTGAAGGTTTGTTATATAGGTATATATTTGCCATGGTGGTTTGCTAAACCTATCAATCCATCATCTACATTAGATATTTCTCCTAATGCTATTCCCCGCCTAACCCCCCACTCCCCAACAGGCCCCAGTGTGTGATGTTCCCCTCCCTGTGTCCTTGTGTTCTCATTGTTCAGCTCCCACTTATGAGTGAGAAAATGTGGTGTTTGGTTTTCTGTTTCTGTGTTTGTTTGCTGAGAATGATGGTTTCTAGCTTCATCCATGTCCCTGCAAAGGACCTGAACTCATCCTTCTTCCTGGCTGCATAGTATTCCATGGTGTATATGTGCCACATTTTCTTTATCCAGTCTATCTTTGATGGGCATTTGGGTTAGTTCCAAGTCTTTGCAACTGTGAACAGTGCTGCAGTAAACATACGTGTGCTTGTGTCTTTATAGTAGAATGATTTATAATCCTTTGGGTGTATACCCAGTAATGGGATTGTTGGGTCAAATGGTATTTCTGGTTTAGATCCTTGAGGAATTGCCCCACTGTCTTCCACAATGTTTGAACCTAATTTACACTCCCATCAACAATGTAAAAGCGTTCTTATGTCTCCACATCCTCTCCAGCCAATGTTGTTGCCTTACTTTTTAATGATCGCCATTCTAACTGGCATGAGATGGTATCTCATTGTGGTTTTGATTTTCATTTCTCTAATGACCAGTGATGATGAGTTTTTTTTTCATATGTTTATTGGCCACATAAATGTCTTATTCTGAGAAGTGTCTGTTTATATCCTTTGCCCACTTTTTGCACCGCAAAAGAAACTATCATCAGAGTGAACAGGCAACCAACAGAATGGGAGGAAATTTTTGCAATGTATACTTCTGACAAAGGGCTAATATCCAGAATCTACAAAGAACTTTAACAAACTTACAAGAAATAAGCAAGCAACCCTATCGAGAATGCGTTGAGAGTTTTAAGAATAATAGCCAATGTTAAGGAAAAAAAATCCTGAATTATCACTAAAATGCTGAGAGAAATCTTTGTTAATATATTACCTGACTATCCAATGGCATAATGCTGTAACCAAAAGGAAGGATAAAGTAATAAGTAAAACATCCTATTCACCAAATGAAAATATAAACAAATAACTATAAATCAACCAGTTCCCCAATAGGTATCAAATATAATTAGATTTTTTTTTTTTTTACTTTTTTAAGTTCAGGGGTACAAGTGCAATTTTGTTACATAGGTAAACCCGTATCACAGGAGTGTGTTGTACAGATTATTTCCTCACCCAGGTATTAAGTCTAGTACCCATTAGTTATTTTTTCCTGATTCCCTCCCCTCTCTCCTTCCACCTTCCACCCTCTGCAACGCCCCAGTGTGTGTTATTCCCCCGCTATGTGCCCATGTGTTCTCATCATTTAGCTGCCACTTATGAGTGAGAACATGAGTTACGTGGTTTTCTGTTCCTGTGTTAGTTGGCTAAGGGTAATGGTCTCCAGCTCCATCCATGTCCCTGCAAAAGATATTATCTCATTCTGTTTTGGGGCTGAATTGCAATCCATGGTATTATTTGCATGATGTAATGTAATAGCAAAAATAAAAATATACACAATAATTTGTTTTATTCATATTGACATTACTTAAGCATAATGTTTTGAGATAGTCAAATTGAGAGCATAACTACAATTGTAAATTTTAAAAGTTAATCTTTCCTAGTATTTAAATTTCACAACAATCTATCAACCTAAGGAAGGTTTTCCCCAAATACTTAATCAAATTGGTCCACCAGACGCTATCTATTACATTGCTTAGGGTTTTTTGTTTGTTTGCATTTTTTGTAGTACTTATTGCTGTTTTATCTCTGTTTATCTGTTTTATTCTTTGGGCCTGTTTCCAAAGACTAGGCTCTGTGAGGATGTGGGACTTTTCTCTCTCATTCTCCAGAGTAGCCTCCCTTCTAGAAGAGAAGTGCACAGTGGATGCTCAGTGAATACATGCTGAAAACATACACAGATAAATGAAACCTCAAACATTACCTTTACAATAACTATTTTCCCTCAAAGTCTATTTTCCACCTACTACATTCTATTATTTCCATCATTACTATTCTGCTAACTTGTTTTCCTATCTAAAAATTCATTCATTATTTATACAGTTTAGGTACTTGCTCCATATGTAATGAGCGTGTATTAACAATAGTTTATCTAATTGTAAATACAATAGGATTATTTGTAAGAATTTCTTTCTTACAAAGAATACAGTTCTTTGTAAGAAAATAGAAAAAACATTTTAAATAAGAAAATGAAACTAGTAATATTATATCAGCAAACAATTACCAAAATTAATATTTGGTCCACTTCCATCCATTTTTATACACATAATTTTAACTATAATTTTCAGATGGCTTTTCTCTCTTTCCTTTTCATTTGACTTTTTATAATAATTAAATATACATGTGAACATGCCTTTTTACATGGAACTACATAACAAAATTTATCAGAAACTTTTCAGACTTAGGTTGCTCTTATTCAAATATTGAAATGAATATATTTGTATATAAGTATTTGCCTTTGTCTCTACACATTTTGAAGACTGATTTGATATTTCTGCTTTCACCATCTGAGGAAAATCTCAGCTCACTATGCCTTTGCAACCTTAAAGCCTCACCACACTGCGCTGGAAACTGAGAATGATTTCTATCTGACCCTTTTACCTAATTACATCAATAATGACAAGAATCCCAAGAAACCCAGGTAAACCCTCACCTCTTAGACAAATGTCTCTGCATATTTTTGCAAATTTCTTAATCTGATCTCATGACCCATGCCTCCCTATCCTCCTTATGGTGCCTGCTGGAGCTAAGATTTGTCATCCATAAAGATTCTACCTTGGAACAGATTCAGAATGAAGCGACATTTGTACTTCTTCTACTTCTTCCACTCTGGTCTACATCACAATATTTCTACCCTAGATTATTGTAATTGCTTTCAACAATTCTCCTCATTTCATCTTTAACCAAATCTCACATTCTTTTCTCTACTAGTCACCAGAGTGATGATTCTAAAAGCTAAGCCCAATTATATTACAACCAGATATAAAATTGACTGAAAAATCCAACAAAATCTGACATGACCACTACCTTAATGACTTAATCACTATTTTTGTCTTTCTATCTCACCCCCCTACACCTTACTGGTGTAATCAATGCTGCTTGATAGGACATGAACATTCTCTCTAAGGGCACTTGAATTTGCTGCTCCCGTTGCCTGGAATATTTTGTCCACAAATCCATGTGATTGGTTTTCTTAATTCTTTCAGATCCTTGCAATAATGCAATGAGGTCTTCCCTGACCACCCAGACACAATAGCATACTAATTCCTTCCCAGAACCTTTCTCTTCTTTGTTCTTCTTTATTTTTTCTTTATATAACTTATCATTATCTGTAATATTATGTATTTCCTTGTAGGATTTTAGATTTGTCTGTGTTTCTTCCCTCAACTAGAATATGAGCTCTATGAAAGAAAAATCCTATTTTGTTCCACTGCTGTCCTCCAGCACCTGAACATAGTAATTATTTAATAAATATTTGATGGATATGAATAAATTTTTAGATATTAAACACATAGTTTAAAGGGCACATAGTTATGTGCAAAAGTTTTAGCAATACTAGATGTATTTTGCATACACAGCTACACACATATCTACAAATACATATACATAAATAATAGAAAGAGATAGAATAAGTCTTTTCATTCACCTATTTTCTATTCATCTATATTTCTGTGTATCTTTTTAGCTATCAGAATAACCTCTGAATGGTAATACTAAGCTAAAACAGAAGAAAGAATTTTGCTGACATTCAGGAATTGGTATGACGTTCATTGCTAGTCTATGTTGTTCTCCAGTTGGAAATAAACCATCTTACGTAACATCAACCTCAATACTGCATGGTAAAGTGAGACAAAAACAGCACCACTGTGAAAACCTCAAAATACCAATAGTGATTTCTCAGCAAAAAATGAGTGATATATTAGTTTGTTCTTACGTTGCTATAAAGAAATACCTGAGACTTGGTAATATATAAAGAAAGTGGGTTTAATTGGCTCATGGTTCTACAGGCTGTACACGAAGCATGATGCTGGCATCTGCTCAGCCTCTCGGGAGGCCTCAGGAAATTTACAATCATGGCGGAAGGAGAAGTGGGAGCAGACATGTATTAAACAGCAGGAGCAGGAGCAAGAGAAAGAGTGAGGGGGAAGGTGCTACACATTTATAAACAAGCAGATCTCACAAGAACTCACTCACTGTCACAAGGACAGTACCAAGCAGGAATGGTACTAAACCATTCAAGAGAACTCTGGTTCCATGATCCAATCACCTCCCACCAGGCTGCACCTCCAACACTGGGGATTATGATTCGACATGAGATTTGATGGAGACACAGATCCAAATCCTATCAAGTGACAACTGCTCCTTTAGTAATTCCAGCATTATCCAGGCTCTAATCTACCCTCCCTGTTAATAAGATTTATTAACAAACGATCATAGAATTCTCCCTACTTTCTGACAACACCTGATCTAGAGTAAATCCCTGCTCCTTAGGCCTTCCCCAAAATTACCCAACCAAAGTCCCAGGCCTATATGAGATTCTTTCTAATAACCTCTTACTGAGACCCATTGCTTCCCATGGTGAGTGTTTTTCCTTACTATAGTGAGTCATACAACCCAGCTAATCAACTAGAGATGTATTCCTGGGGATATTCAGGTGAAGGGTGTTGGCAAGGTATATTTAAAAATTAAAAACATATATGTATATATTTATAATGGAGTAAATACAGAGAAACATAGAATGTATCTTTATGTCTAACATTTCTTTTTATACTATAGTTCTGTGTAACTAGCTATATAACAACCTTTTGAAGATAAAAGAAAATAATGTCTTCTGTATTAGCAGTTGCTAGATTTTTTATGTATCAGTGTTCGTTTCTTTGAAGTTCTGTGTGGAATAAAGAACACTGAGCATTTCACATTTAAATAGTATGTCTCTTTTTAATGCTCTACTGAGCATAACAATCATACTTTATGTTACAGCTAAATTTGCCTAAACTTGAAGACTTTGGTCCTCTCAAATGGGATATGTAGGCAAAATAAAGTAGCAATTTCATTTATGTTAATATACTCATAATTGAGAATAAATTGTGAGCAAGGTAGAGTGAGTAATTCGGTTACCACTCCTTAACAACAGCTAAAGAAAAGAATTAAATTATCACTTTAAGAAGAATAAGGATGGATTATGCATTGTGCCCACCCTATGAAAAAGAGTATAACATTTTTATAAATAATTCACCTATGCATATAATAATTGGAGTACTATTTATGAAAAAGATACTATTAAATTCCCTTTTTTACAGATAAGACAGTTTTAACTATTAATACATTGACATAATTATTCAGAACTTGTGCATATAATTAGAGTATGGGTCTAGAGTTAATTATTGAAATTTAAGAAGTTATTAGTAAAGCCTTTGAACAAGAGAGTATTTTTTTTCTTTTTACTGGTCCTGGCCCAAATCTATGTTGAGTTATAAAAACAAGGCAGGTAAAAATAATTTAGAATTACTGATTCTACTGTTACTATTTCCATTAAATTTCAATAAAATCAAATTGTGAAACTGTCATGTATAAGGTCTAGTTCTAGAGAGCTTATGTTTGTAAGCAATATCAAGTTTATTCACCACTTTAAATAATAAAAACATTTGTCAATTTGATGAAAAAGCCATCTTAATCAGAGTTTTGAAGGAAAAAAAACAAAAAATACTAGGAAAAAAGATCAATTTTAATGTTATACCTACCATTTCCTACCTACCATTTGTATTATACCAACCATTTCATATCTACCATTATAAATCTATATTGAATTTTACTATAACATGAAAATATGAGGGGATAATAGTAAATTATATATTTATCACTATAAGAAAGACAATATTTTCTTAAATTTCAAAATGTATGGAATATGTATTTGCCTATATAATGAACTTTTGAAAATATTTAGTATTATAATAATAAGGGGCCACACATTTTATATCTTGTAATTTAAAATTGGAAAATTCTAGCCTGGTGCTGTGGCTCAGGCCTGTAATCTCAGCACTTTGGGAGGCCGAGGTGGGTGGATCACCTGAGGTCAGGAGTTTGAGACCAGCCTGGCCAACATGATGAAACCCTGTCTCTACTAAAAATACAAAAAAATTAGCTGGGCGTGGTGGTGGGCACCTGTAATCCCAGCTACTCAGGAGGCTAAAGCAGGAGAATCGCTTGAACTCAGGAGGTAGAGGTTGCAGTGAGCCGAGATCATGCCATTGCACTTCGCCCAGGCAATAAGAGTGAAACTCTGTCTCAAAAAAAAAAAAAAAAAAAGAAAAAAGGAAAAATTCTGATTTCCTATTTTTAAATGAAAGTGTTATTTTTCAGATATTAAGATATTATTATATGTAGTTGGCCGGGTAGTGGCTCATGTCTGTCATCCAGAACTTTGGGAGGCCGAGGCAGGCAGAGATCACTTGAGAACAGGAGTTTGAGAGCAGCCTGGCCAACATGACAAAAACCTGTCTCTACTAAAAATACAAAAATTAGCGTGCCTGTAGTCCCAGCTACTCAGAAGGCTAAGGTGGGAGAATCACTTGAACCCAGGAGGCAGAGGCTGCAGTGAGCTGAAACCATGCCACTGTACTCCCTCCTGGGCAACAGAGCAAGACTCCGTCTCAAGAAAGAAAAAAAGATGTTATTATATATAGTAAATTTGTATAAACAATCATCAAACAACCATTCACTATGTATATTTTTTTCTTCTATGAATTTATTTCCTCTCTGCTTTTCCTCTTTTTTTCAAAGCTAGTAATTTTTATTTTTTTGCCAAATATTCTGATCAATTCAGATGTAACTAGCTAAATGGGAAAACTTCAGACAATGTATAGAAAATGCAATATATTTTATTATTTCGTAAGTGAAATACCTTAGTTTCCTAATTTCACAGAAAAGGTTGATTGTTGTAACACATGCATGCTGATATCAAACATGATTTCTCAAAGAAATAATGCTGCTAATTCAGAATAGATAATTCTATGTCACTTTATAATTTGCTTACTTCACTCATCAGTAGAAAACAATCAGAGCTATAAAAGAAAATTAAGTCTAATAATATTTGTACGCAATAACTAGTCAAAATCTTCTTGATACAGAGATATAAATGTGTTAGTCAATTTTATAGCACTTAATAAAAGCAAAGTAGCATATTTGTTGCCATTATTATTGTGGAAATTCCATTGTTATTAATAGGGTGTGCCCTATGAACACGTTCTGGTTGCCACTTAAACATACCTTCAAGATCTGTACTTAATATATCTCATTACATAAAATTATATATTAAGAGTAGTAGGAAAGTATATAATCAGCTATTATCTTTCCTTTGCTTCATTGTTGCAATGAATGATTGAAACCTTAAACTAACATACCTTATCTAATTTCTATGGTTTACTTATTTTTCTTTTTAATGAGCCCCACACTGATGCTGTTGGTGTCACTGTGATTTGTGAGAACTTGAGAAAACCCAGTTAATAAGCAGGCTTGTTTTTTTGAAGTTGCTCCAATATTTCTAGGCTTCTAATCATAATTAAAGTTAATGAAGAAAAAAATTAATTGCTCTATTTAAAAGTGCTATTAAGGGGCTTACAAAACTGGAACAAGTTGATATATGCGATACTCAATCTCATAACAAACTGTAATGATTAATTTGATATGCAATTGCTCCAAATCTATATTTTCTCTTTCTCAGAATGCCAGATGGATTATGAAAACCACATAATGCTGCAAGCTCACCTGTGCTACCCACTCTTTTTGTCCTTCTAATTTTCAGGGATGCTTCTGTTGGCATGGTTGGGGTGTTCTCTGTCCAATGTCAAGTATGCATCTGCCTTTAGAGGCAACATATTTATTTTCCTCTGAATACATAGGGAAATTCTGTTTGCTGTTCCATTAAGTAAATAAATGCTGAAAATACCTACAAGACAAATAGAGTCAGTTAGCAAAAATTTGTCAGGAAGTTTATATAGAAAGCTGTTAACTATGATTTTGAAAATATTGTAGCATTGTATGTGTGGGAAGAATGGGTTAAAAAGTTAAAGAGTACTTTAACATTCTAAGTTTTTTCATATGCTACATGTATTTGAATAAATAAATATATGTATATCCATACACATGTCAGCAAGACTATATTTGAGTTTATTTATACATATATAAAATAAAAGAATATTAAAGCTAAGCAAGATAAAATTATATCAAAAAAGGAGAAAAATAAAGAATAGCAAGCAATTCTTTTACCTATAGTCATTTGTTCTGTTTGGAATTTTACTTTCTAGTTATTATAGATTTTCATCTCCTATGGTATATAGTTTACCAGATAAAAACATTTTTAACTTTAGTCTATGGTTAACACAAAAATATGTATGTACAGCTCTCCCTATTTAAAAGTTTAGGAGAAAAGACAACATACAACTTCAATTATAAAAACTGTTTCTTTTTATCCATATTTTAAGCCTCCCAAAATGAAAATAATGCCTAATGACAAATTCATTGAATACTGTGTAGTTTTTGAAAGCTGTGGTTGGAGTGAAACATAGAGACCTTGAAACATTTTACTTTCTTTGTTTAGAGAATAGATTAATTAATTGGTTCTAATTGGTTTCTTACTGAAGAATTATAATTTTTCTAACACTATTCAAGCGCTATTGTTTCAGAAATGGTGGAAGAGTATTATCTTCATGAGTTAAAGGAGATACAGGTAGTTAAATAGCTTAACTCATTATTATCAAATGTTGACTGGGAAGCATAAATAAATGACTCAACCACAACACCCTGTTATCAGTTTAAATATAATAGTAATAACAATAGGTGATATTTATTGAGTGTGTCAGGGATTGCTTTAAAGAGCTTAAATATATTATCTCCCTTAATGCTTAAAATATTGCTATGAGGCAAATAGTTACTATCATTATTTTACAGACAGAGAGCATAAAGCATCCAGATACTAAACAGGTTATCTTTTTATTTATGTACCTGACTCTTATATCTACAATTTTACTAATTGTAGATATAATAAAAATTGTAGATATAATAAAAATACTATTATGTATTAGTCTTGTTATAACTAATTTAGGTTGTAAAGACCCAGTATATGACCAACTGCTTTAGACATTTTAAAAGCTGTAATGAGCACATGTGTTTCCTTCAAGATTTATTTTTCATAGAGAAATTATCTATAATCTGGAGTTTCTGGAATAACAATTTTATTGCTAGAGTGCCACATTATGATCTTTTCCAAAAACTATTTTTTACTTATATAGGTGCATTTTATTTATTCTCCTTATGTGCATATTTTTAACCTCGTCATTAACAAACTGCCAAAACAGTCTTACTCCACCAGAATGCAGGTGTATGGAGAGTTAAAGATGTTTGATGCTTACTTCCAGTGCAGGTTTTCTCAGCTTGCTTAATGAATGATATAACTGTCCCATTTCCCACCCTCCAACATATGCACATGTAGCAAATAATGTCCCAGGTATGACTTTCAAGTAGGATGCGTGTATTATGTGTTGTTTTTAAAATGGATTTTGGTTGAGACTAGTGTTTAGGTATTAGATCCGACAGTAGCATCTCTCACTTTGTAGAATGGGATTTCCTTACCACCACGTACACAACTACCACCACTACTGCTGCTAGTGGTATAGATTCTTAACAATAAATTAGTATATTTGGTAGCATATTTGACAGATGACATAGTCTATCTTCAAGAACAGTGTGATACTTGGAAAAGAGCACTAAATAAAAGATTAGGCCAACTAAATTTTTTTCCTAGCTGCTCTACTTATTAGTTTTGTTGATTATGGTAAAAAAACTTGGACCAAATTAGCTAATATGTGTTTTCACCATTTACAGAGTGGTTTAATATAACACGAATTTATTGATTATCATGTAGCAAATCAGTTGTAATTATTATTTCTGTGTCTACATATTTGAAACCTGAAGTTCAGAGAATTTATATGGTTTCAAAATAATTGAACCCAGGCATAACTTCAGGGCTTTTGGCTCCAGATATAGTATTTCCTTGTCCACACCACACTTTTCTTAATTGTATTTTGTTGGAGTTGATAATCAAATGAAATCTATTTAGATGTTGCAGATAAATTCCAAAATAGTATACATAATAATTTATTTTTTGTAGTGAGTCAATTCCTAAAGGACTATTGCATTTATTTTTAACTTTACTTGTGCACTAATTTTTAAAAATGATTATATTCCTTGTGAAAATACAAATCAAACCAGAACAGAAAGCTTTAAAACAAAATCCTCATTCCTTTTCATTTTCTTACTCCTTGGAGAATCTACTGTTAATCTACAATCACACACACACACACACACACACACACACACACACGACACATGCCAGTGTATCTGCTATGTAGACTTAGTTGCTGAAATATTAACAGCTGAAATGATCTGTTAAGGTAAACATGTTAATATTTTTGTTAAGATATTTATTCTGATAACCAAATCTGGTTCAGTATTCTGAGGATGTGACAGATAATTTTATGTACCAATTTGAAGGGTATTTTTGGATAGGGTTAACATAATTCAATGGACTTTGAGTAAGGAGACTGTCCTCCATAATGTGGGTGGGCCTCAACCAATCAGTTGAAAATTTGAATAGAACAAATGACTGGTTTCCTAGAGCAAGAGGAGATTCTCCAACAGAATGCTCTCAGACTTTATCTGCACCATCAACTCTTCTTGGTCTCTGCTTGTCAACCTTCAGACTGGAACTGCAGCATTGGCTCTCCTGGGTCTTCAGCCTGGTGGCCTACATAGGAGATTTGAGACTCATCACCCTCCATAATTACATGAGCCAATTTTTTATGATAAAGATTATTCTGTGTATACACACATCCTATTGGTTCTGTTTCTCTGGAAAACCTTGGCTGAAACAAAATGTAAACTCTGTATTTTCAAATAGCCTTTCTTAAATTAAGTCTAACGCTTCCTCCCTACCTATTTAAGTGTGGCCTAAAAATTTCTCCATATATAGTAAAATGTAACCTAATTGGATGTGTCAATAGGCTGTAACCTACTCTTGTATCTATAATAGAGTTTTGTCCAATCACAGGTGAGCAACTCTTGAAATCGTGTTTGAAAAAGGCAAATGCTGAGCTGTAACCAATCCAGCTGTCTCTGTAGCTTACTTCCATTTTTGGTATGTCACTTTCCTTTTTCTGTGATCTGACCATGTGGTGGCCCTAGAGTCACTCTGAAACTCTTCTGGCTCTCTTGGCTGCTGGATTGGAGAATTGTTCTCCACTCAATTAAACTCTGCTAAATTTAATTTGCCTAAAGGTTTTTTTTAATATCTTCATCACTTCACAAGCAGTAAGCATTTATTATAGAAGTAATCTTCTATAAGTCTTATGCAATTTGAAATATACTTTAAGATAAAAATTCTGAAAGGTACTTACATATATCTACCTTGCTTCAAATCTCAAGTCTTAATTGAAGATTTCCAAATCACAGAGGCATCCTATTTTTTGTAAAGTTTTTCTTTTTTAAAATAGAAGAAAAAATGAATTAGAATGCTTTATAGAGCATGTTGCATTATTATTAGAGACTGCTCTTTTCTTAAGATTATGTTTTTTATGAAAACATTTTTCTTTCATACCCTAAAATGTTACAACCCTTTTTCTGAAAGTAAAGGTTTCTATTTATTTCTAGATATGAATTTTTCTTTTTATCTTTTTTCTTTTACCCTTTAATAGTTTCATGAAAAATGTCACTGGATCACTAATTTTTTTTCTTTGTTTAAAAAGCTATAAGCATAAATATTACCTAGTTTTCTAAGTCTATCAAAAGTTTTCAGCACAATCTATTGAAGATGGGTGTAATTAAAAGTAAAATAAAATCAGAAACTTTAAGAGACTCAAGGGTCCCGAGGATAGTTTTTAAATTATTGAAGTCAGTTTTGTTTCTTGAAAGTAATTACACTGTTTCAACCGGATTTTTTGAAAAAAAAATTATATATATATAATATTATATATATACACATATTAGAAAAATACTTTTAATATACACCAATATACCCCATATTATGTTTCTGCCAAATGTAATTTAACTATTATTATAAAAGTAACACTGATAAAATAATTTAATATAATGGTAGAAACAAAGTCCATCTTTATATCATTTTTTAAATTCGATAAGCATAGAGCCAGACCCATTCATCACTATAGTGAGAGTAGGCTGGGTCTTCTCTGCTACTGCCATATAACAAAGAACTTGACTGGCCTTTCTTCCTGGTTCCTGGGAGGGAGCTTCTAAATCCTTGTAATTTCCCCAGTGATAGAAGTGTCTCTGTTCTTCATGATGAGACCCTGGGACCACACTGGCATAAGCCAGTGAGATGACTAACAGTGGGTCTCTCGGTAGTTTGTGCAAACAAGATGTCTCAGGATGGGGCCTAGCCATGTCCAAAAGACTAGTATGTAATTAACAGTTGGGGATTTTATACTATACTATAAGTTTGCCTTCCAGGAAGGTGATGGGGGCTGGAGATTGAGTTCAGTCATTTGGCTGATTAATCATGCTTATGTAATCAAAATGATGCTCGGATGAGCTTTGCTGGTTAACAATATTCTGTAAATTGTTACACATTAATATACTGGAGGGATGATGTGTCCTGTCTCTGAAGCGAGAGGACATGAAAGCTTTGCAATTGGACCCCTTCCAACCTCATTGTTTACATTTTTTTGACTGGTCCTGATATGTATCCTTTTTGCTATAATAAAAATATCATCATCAATATAGTGAAACAGGAAAGGTTTCCTTGTTCCCCTTGCAGGGTGTATGATGGGGTGTGGCTCGCTTCTTCAGTGCTCCACTGCTCAAACCTCTAGGGGAGCATATAGACGGGGAGGCTGTGGGGCTCCAACCCCACAGCTGTGTCTAGGGGTGAATGTTTACGGCTGAAGCCCTCCAAGGGGCGTGTGTTACAGAGTGCTCTTTCAGTTTAGCCATCCATAGGTGGCTTGTGTTAGTCAGCTCAGTTAGACCTCTGCCTTGTCTCAAGGACAGAGGGCTTTCTGTATCCTGGGGTTCTTGCCTTGGTGTACGGGAAAGAATCGGATCACACGTGGGCTTGGAGAATGAGTGCAAAGTTTTATTGAGTGGAAGTAGCTCTCAGCAGATGGGGAGCCAGAAGGGGAATAGTTTCCCCGTTGTCCGTGGCTGGGGCTCTCCTTCAACTGTCCCGGCCAAACTCTGCCTTGTTCTGCTGGTTGATGGCCTGCAGGCCTGCTGGCGTCTGTCATGTGCTCTTCCACCGGCATGCTCTCCTCAACGTCCTCTTGACGTCCAGCCACTTGTGTCTTCTGCCAATGTGTTCTGCTCCACTTCCAGTCACTTGTTTGTCTGCCTCCTAGGGTCTGGGGGTTTGCATAGGCACAGGTTGGGGGTGTGGCAGGCCAGGGTGGTCTTGGGAAATGCAACATTTGGGCGCAAAGGCAGGAGTGCCTGTCTTCATCTAGGTCAGTGGGCACAGGTCTGGGGGGTGGAGCCCTCGCCAGGGACCCGCCCTTCTACTCCCAGCACTTGCCTGCCCCACTTTTGTATCAATAGCAGTTTCCTGAGTTCTGACAGTTTCTAGTGAATTTTTCTACTTGAGAAGTCAATGAGGAGCCCCAGATTTGTAGTGAGTTCATCAGAGGCTTGGGAACCCCTGAGCTTGCAGCTGGTATCTGAAGTAAAAATAGTCTTGTTGGGGACTGTACCCTTAACCTGCAGAGTCCCCTGGTAGTTAGTGTCAGAAGTCACTGCAGCTACCATGCCATTCTCTGTATACTCTTTTATACGCTGTAATCTGTGGTCAGGCACAAGTTTCTAGACATACAACATTATTTCCATTGCCAAATCCAAGGCATTTAGTTCAATAGTGTATCATCTTGTATTTGATTACTATGACTGCTAATTTGGATAACGTTCTTAATAGGCAATAGAGTGAGTCAAGTAAAGCTTCATGTTTACACAGCATTAAGTACTCTTGTCTTTTCCAGTTTAGTAAACTGCCCAAAATCTAGCAGTTACTAAACACATTCTAATTGACTAAATACTAGAGTCAGAATCAGTTAGATATTTTTGAAGCTGAATTTACACTGCTACATCATGAAGGTGTCATTTAATTCACTTGATCAGGCTCAATTAAAGATCTGAAAGACATAGTGAAACTAAGACCCTAAAAGACATTTGTAGTATCATTTTTTAAAATAAAATTTCTCAGTGAAATGGAGAGATAAATTAAGCACTGGATAATAGAAATGTTAAAAAACAGAACTAACCTTAGTTTTTGAACAAAAGAAAAACTCGATTATGCATTATATTGTCTTTTGAATATAGGCAAAGTATACTTTCAGATAACTGACAATACAGTTAATAATAATAGTTACCATAAATACAACTTTAAAAAATTTTCTTGCCTGTCTTTAAAATTTTTCTAGTCCTTTTTCTGCTTGCTTCATTTATTATTGCTAGTCATTTGCTTTAATTTCATTCTAACAAGCATACTATATCTACTTCTTGAACCTCCTCTTCACATCTTTTGTTTCTAGTTATTTATTCAGGGGCAAGATCTGTTCTGGAGGGTGGGGAAGATTGTCACTAACTTTGATTTTTGCCTTAGTTTGACTGAGAGCAGAGGGGATAGTTGTGTTGTCACTGTGGTCATTAAGAAATAAATAAGACAACATATAAGAATGTCCTCATATGTAAGGTATTAATACAATGTAAAAGTATTGCCCAAACATTCTCCTGAGGTAAAATAATAATAATAATAATAATAATAATAATAAGAGGTCGGGCGCAGTGGCTCACACCTGTAATCCCAGCACTTTGGGAGGCTGAGGCAGGCAGATCACGAGGTCAGAAGATCGAGACCATCCTGGCTAACACGAGGACACTCCGTCTCTACTAAAAATACAAAAAAATAGCGGGGCATGGTGGTGGGCGCCTGTAGTCCCAGCTACTTGGGAGGCTGAGGCAGGAGAATGGCATGAACCCGGGAGGCAGAGCTTACAGTGAGCCGAGATTGCACCACTGCACTCCAGCCTGGGCGACAGAGTGAGACTCTGTCTCAAAACAAATAAATAAATAAAATAATAATAATAAATAAAGCCATTGTCTCACACACCTGCAAAAAAAAAAAAAAAAAAAAAAAAAAAAAGAAAGAAACACAAGGCTGGAGGTTCACAGAGTATTTATATTGGAAAATCTCATTTAAGTTAATATATAACATTAACATTCAAAATTCAATGCAATTTAATCAAACAACTGTAACTCCATGACAAAGAGAGTCATCTCTACTTCAGAAGCATTTAATTCAATATTAAGAATTAATACATCATCATATCTTCAAGACAAACCCATGTACCATTTCACAACAACTAATAAAAATTATAGGAAGAATCTCATCTCAGAATAATTGATTTCTATTTTTCATTCATTAACGAGATAAGACTCTCAGCTTTAGGTGTATTTCATTGAATTAACTTTGTGGAAATACATACTGCCTGATAAAAAGCAAAGACTATTTAAATGGAAAAAGATTACTTTATTAGAAGTATAGGAATCTCCTACATTGCCTAATAAAGGACATTAGACCCATAAGTAGGGTCTGGAATTGAATTAATGGAATCATAGGCAAATATAATCCTGCTGATTAATCTTGTATCCTCCACAGGCATTTCAGCGTTCCATTGGATGAATTCTTGTTATTTTTAAAATAGGTAGGCCTAGCACAGTGGCTCATGCCCGTAATCCCAGCACTTTGGGAGGCTGAGGCAGGCAGATCATGAGGTCAAGAGATCGAGACCATCCTGGCCATCATGGTGAAACCCCATCTCAACTAAAAATACAAAAAATTAGCTGGGTGTGGTAGTGCATGCCTGTAGTCCCAGCTACTCTGGAGACTGCGGCAGTAGAATCACTTGAACCCGGTAGGTGGAGGGTTCAGTGAGCCGAGATGGCGCCACTGTACTCCAGCCTGGCGACAGTGTGAGACTCCATCTGAAAAATAAATAATAATAATAGGTAAAGAAAAGGAGCTAATAGTCAAGCTTCTGCAAAGTGTAAACATCAAAATAAATGTACAATAAAAAGATGTTTTTTGCCTTCCTCAACTACATGGATATATATGCACTGTCTTACTAAATGCCAAGTACATTTTAATAGCAAAATATATGTATTTGCCATTTTCTTTATACTAGTGGAATAAGCATGCCACCTTAACATTGTCGAGGCTCTAAATAAATTTTATAATTTAAATAATACCTGAAGGTACCTTTACAAAGGTGAGGAGTTAATTATACTTGTCTATCTAGTTTTAACTAAAAAAATAAAAATACATTTACGCTCTTAGAGGGCTTGACTGCAGACATATCTTTAATATTTCATTGATAACTAATCTAAGTTAGAGAGATAATTAGTAAGGTAATAGAGAAACAAACCCTAAATGTTTGACTCAATGGTAAGCATCTATGCCAACTATAAATATAAAATCATTGATGAGTAAGCTAAGCATATATACTACAAAAAAATGTATGATAATAAGTCAATCACTTTGAACATTGTTTATCAAGAAAATATCAAAAATGTATATTTAAGTGTTCTAATGAAAAAAGTATTACTTTTAGGGAGTAACTTGATCATAGTAGTGTAACATATAAAAAGTCATGAATTTTGTATTGCTTATGGCTGTTTACAGTATATATGTTTTGCATCATATACTTTTATATTCTGAAAATATACTTTGAACACATGCCAGTAGATTACATTTAGCTAGTGAATGAACAGTGCTATTGATTGAAGAAATATTTATCATGTGATTTTTAAACTTCATCAACTGCATACATTTTAAACTCTAACTTAGTTTATGATTTTTCATAAACCAAAGGAGAGCCATCACTTTTCCCTACACTCCCATGCTGAATGACATTAAAATTGCTCTCTTATTTTTCAGCATTGTGACTATAATAATTAATGATTTATTTTTTTCCTGACAACTGCCAACTAGGAGAGTGAATGTTAAATGTTCTCACCACAATAACCATGAGGTAATGAACATTTTAATTAACTTGATTTAATGATTCCATTTTATGCATACATATACTTGAAAACATCATGTTGTACACAAAGCAATGTTATCAGCCAACAGAACATAAGTAAATAAACAAATTTGAAAACAAAGAAATTATTCTTCTGAAACACAGTGTAGTCCACATACATTACCATCAATCACATCACTGCAATGACAGTACAGTGAAAACCTTCATTTTAGCAAGTTAAATAATAAAACAAGGATTATTCAGAAAAGATGATCAGGTGCTAGTAGTCTCCTTTTAGAGAACTGAACTAATGAAGTTATAGGCAAATATAATTCTACTGATTAATTTTATGGTCTCCACAGCATTTCAGAGTTCTACTGGTTGAATTTTTGTTATTATTAAAATAGATAAAGAAAAGGAGCTAATATTCAAGCTTCTGCACAGTGTGAAAACCACCAAAATAAATGTACAATAAAAAGATGTTTCTTGCCTTCCTCAAATACAAGAACATATATGCAGTGTCCGACTAAATGTCAAATACAATGTATTGTAGTACATTGCAGGAAGAACTGTCTCTACTGAGATTCAACTCACCCATTCGCACTTTTGAGGACAGCATACCCTAAAATTGACGATAGCATATGAGGAAAAGAAAATTTTTATTTTTATGAAAACAAGCTCATATGTGTAAACCCTTAAATCATATGTAAATGCAAAGTACTCCTTATTAGCATATACAATGAAGAGAAGAGAATCACTGGCAAAAAGGATAATGGAGACAAAAATGGGAGATGGGAGGAAGACTGAAAAAGATGATACCCAGCCATTTTGAATTTTTATCCAATAAACATAAGATTGTGTGCACAAACAGATAACAAGAATGATTAAAACCTACTCACAGAGATGATGTTGAATGGGCACCAATTGAATTAAATAACACCTTTCAGAAATTCACATACACACACAGAGTTCATCTTTATTACCTAAAAATACATATTTTTTGGATAAATGATAAAACATCATATACAGAATGAAATTTTTAATGAAAATTTTTATTGCAGAATTTTAAAATCAAGTGGACACAATCATTTTAATATGACTAGTCAGCTATTTAACACCTGTTTTGTTGCTCAGCTTAGCTTCCTGGTTTCATTCCTGACATCTCTTTGTTAAACAAAATTATCTGTAGATGCTTTATACATTTATACAAAAGGGAAAGCCTCTGGCTTTGCAAGTTTTGAATTTTGTTACTTCAGTTTACTTTCTTTAAGTAAATGTTGTATTACAATAAAAATGGTCTGCATTAAGCTCTTTAATCTGAACTCTTGACCTATTCCGTATACATCTGTATTCAAGGTCACATGAACTTTAGCAACAAAAGCATTCCATGTTTTTACCTCTGCATTTAATTTTTATTTCTTAAATAATATTTAATTTCCTGAAATGTTGCGATTTATTATACAATCAAATCCTTTGCAATTTTTATCACATATACTGCCTATTGCAAACATTGTAGGGAAAATGAGGCTTAAGGCACATAAAAGCAAATCAGAGACTGCAGTTTCCTTCCTTCTAAAGTGTCAGGCATATGTGTTTTCAGGCTCAGAAGCATTAGGTCCCTGGGTACTTTGAGCAATGTAAACGAGGGGAATTATTCAGGAGATTACTGAAAAGGATTAGTGGTAAAATTAGGCAGAACTGTGTGCCTCTGTACCTGCTTGATTACTCTGCACTTTCAACTGCCTGAATGACAAAGATAACCCTGTCTCTGCTTTTTGCCTCATGAAGCCATTGAGTGATCCAGAGTTCTTATTTTTAAACCTTTAGCAAAGTAACAGTGTATGACGGCTTTTTGAGTTTTTCTTATCAGACCAAAAAAAAATCATTATCAAAGAGAATCCTTATGTGTTACCCTGACACAACGCTGTCAGCATTTTAACTGTATAATTATTTACCAGTTTGATAAATTCATTTCTAAAAGCAAATAAAATATCAATGACATTTAACAGAGTTTCTCCTAATTCCAATACCTGCAAATACTTTCTGATGTTCTACTTTTGTAAAATTGTCTGATGTCTGCTTTTGTGGACTACTTTTGGCAATAGTCTCCAAAAGAATGCTAGAATATTTGCTAACAAAAGCAAGCCCCTGGTTGCACGAGATGATAAAATGAACCAGAATTAGTTTAAAAGTTAAAAAAGCAGGGTTAATATACCAAAAGAAAATTGACAGAGCACAAAAGTCTTGCTGTCCTGATGACTGAATCGGATCAACACAGACTTTCTTTACTGTGGTAATTGGCATATTACTAAGATAGTCGAAATGCACACGTCCATTTGTCTCTGGCATTAGTATAATGAAGGCCTACCAGGGCAATTGTACCAAGACATTCATCCAAGGAACTAACAGTTAGTAACTTTCACATTAACCCATTATCCACATGTCTGTAGTTGTAAAATAGAAAATACATAGTTAAGGATTGGTTGATTAAAAAATCATACAAACTAAACATTACATAGAGAAAAAAATGTAGCCTATATGTCTGAGTGAAAAAAGAAAATCCTAAAGTAGACTATTAGAATTTTTGAGATTAGGACTATTTGGGTTTTAATTGTACTACCAAAAAAGTATACGTAATTGTACTGTCATTATTAAACCATATGACAATTATAAATAAATATTATTTGACCTTATTTCTTTACTAACTTGTTTTATCATCTTTGCTGTATGGAAAAATCACTCCTGTTATTTTATACAGACAGATGATTCAGAAAAGAGAGCGTATGGACCTTCTGAGTTCATCTGTATGGACATTTGCAAAACTTATTAAAAGCTAACATTTTTTTAAGCTTTAGAGAGCAATAACTATTGCAAATGCTTTACAGGTCATATCTATTTAGGACTGGTTCAGTTTCACATATTAGAGAATCATTCTGGAGTGGCTTAAACTCCCTAAAGACCAGGAGAACATGCCATCATGTAGGTAAGCTTCCCAAGGCTTGTTCAAGTAAGTGTCATGATAGTATCAGATGTCTGCCTCATAATTTCTAAGGCTTGGCTCTTGTCCTCATGACCATAAAAGTCTACCGTCTTCTAGTAACATAATTGTATTCCAAGTGGGAAGAAGGAGGAAGAAAAATTAAAAAATAATGCATGCCAACTGACTCTTCCACCTTCCTACTACCTACTTTTATGGAGCTTTTGGGAGAATGAATCACTATTTAATGGTTTCTGTTTAAATCTATATCAGTAGTCATATCTGCATTACTTTATCACCATGAACAGAGACTAGGAAATGCTTTTTTCAGCTGGCCACATTGCGGCTTCCATCCAAATTACAGTTCTTTTTTTCAGAAGGACGAATAAAAAAATGGATAGTTTCTTCCCTATAATAATAGTGATGTTCAGTAAATATTTGAATAAGTGGATTTTGAAAGTGATATATTTATAATGTAATACTTTTCTGACTAACATGCCACTTTGACTACTTTGGTATATATTTTGCTTCATTATCTATTATTCAGACGGTGTAGGAATATATATTTGACACATAAATGACAATATAACACAATGTCATCTTCAAGTTTTCATTTGAAAGTATCATTTCTGCTGCTGCATCTATTACTATCACAAAAATGTGTCAGTTCTAGTTGCTGATTTTAACAAATTAATGCAAACAAATATACATGGAATCTGTATTTAATAAACTGGATTTCCTTTTCCCATATGGTGGATTAGAGGCTTTTAGCATGCCTCAGCCACTTGGAAATAGCAAGATAGTGCATGAAGATCAATTCTGTGAGCTTTAATTCAAGAAGGAAAACAAGAATCCACAAGAAATCATGAAGGACACTCCTGATCCCAGAGAGGAGAGTGCCTGCAAACAGCCCACATTACAGTGTCTGGCTGATAAAAGTGAATAAAGCCCATGAATGTGAGAGAGGCAGAGATCTCCCCTCTGTGACTCACCTTTAGTGGAGATCCAATGCGCCCAGACCAAGAGAGAATATTTTATATCTCTCAAGCCCTGGAGCTAACTTACGGATAGGCTTAGAAACTCTGTAAGAGAAAGACACTGGATAAAGCTACAGACACTTTCCAAGACCCAGGACTGACAGCAGGATGCCATTTTTAATCCAGATGTATACAAAGCCAGCCATTCTTTGGTGACCTCAGGAATTTCAGTCTTGGGCCAGAGATTGGCACACCTGCTGTAAAACACAAGAGGGGCCTCCCCAGCCAGAACAGTAGAAAATTGCTAAGCAGTAGGTGCTGGAATTCTGATCTCCCGCAACATAAGCTTGGGGTGGCCGGAGAGCTGCTACAGCTGCAGTTTCTCCTGGGCAGCAAGACTCGCAGTCATGACTGGCTTGTTGACCCAGAACCGGTCTGTGTGTGCCATTTCTGCGCACACTGGCCTGCTCACCTGAGGTTGTGTTGCAGCAGGGCCTTATCCACTCCATGCTCAGGCAGATCTCCAGGTATTCAGAGCACCTCTTTGCCTGGTTCAGCAGCATAAGTTGCCCTATTCCTCTTGTGAAGAGATCCTACTACAAGGGGGGCCCTAGCTATTCCATGCCCAGGCAGATCTCCAAGAACTAGGAGCACTTGCTTCTCTAGATCAGCAGCCTTCCTGCCTTCCTTCCTTCCATCCTTCCTTCCTTCCTTCCTTCCTTCCTTCCTTCCTTCCTTCCTTCCTTCCTTCTTTCCTTCCTTCCTTGCTTCTTTTTTTTTTTTTTAGATGTAATCTTGCTCTATCACCCAGAATGGAGGGCAGTGGTGTGACCTCAGCTCACTGCAACCTCTGCCTCCTGGGTTCAAGCGATTCTCTTACCTCAGCCTCCCTAGTAGCTGGTACTACAGGCACACACCACTATACCTAACTAATTTTTATATTTTTAATAGAGATGGGGTTCTGCCATGATGGCCAGGTTAGTCTCCAACTCCTGACCTAAAGTGCTCCCTCTGCCTTGGCCCCCCAAAGTGCCACCCAACCTTTTCTATACAAAAATCTAGGTGCAGGGATATTCTCTGTACTTCATGCCCAGGCAGATTTTCAGGTATTTGGAATATAACCTTATCTGGATCAGCAGCCTTAGCGGCCCCACCATTGCTGTGCAGAGGACCTGGTACTGGGATGCCCTCTTTACTCAACACCCAGGCAGATCTCCAGGCATTCAGGGTACCTGCTTGCCTTGTTTAGCAGCCTAAGTCATCCTACCTTCCTGGGCACACATCATGGTGCAGCAAGGCACTCTTTTCTCCATGCCAAGGCAAATATCCACGTAGTTGAAGCACTGGCTCACTGGGATCAGCAACCTGACCTGCCTCATCCTTCCTGTGCAAATATCCTGGTTCAGTAATGCCCTCTTTTCTGCATACCCAGGCAGATCTAAAGGCATTTGGAACACCAGCTCGTCTGGATCGGCAGCCTGAGCCACCCCAGCTTTCCTGTGCAGAAATCCTGTTGTAGGGAGGTCCTCTCTGATACACAGGAAGATATCCAGGAATCTGGAACACCCACTCTCCTGAAATAGAAACTTAGTCCATCGGCCATTCCCATACAGAGAATTTGGAGCAAAGGAAGTTTCCCAGCTCCATGCCTAGGCACTCTTCTGGGTGTTTGAGAACCAACTGGATTCTCCTTCAGCACTGTTGCTTGTGCCTGCAACTGGGGGACCTGTAGGCAGACTTGCTTGATCAACACCCTGCATCCCAAATAGAAAAAGAGAAAGTTAAACTATCTCTCTTTGTGAGTGGTATTACTCTATACCTAGAAAATTCTAAAGATTGCTGAAAGTCTCCTGGTACTGATGAACAACATTAGTAAAGTCTCAGGACACAAAACAAATGTACAAAAATCAATGGCATTTCTATACATCAATAACGTTCAAGCTGAGAGCCAAATCAAGAATGCAATTCCATTTAAAATAGCCTAAAAATAAAATAAAGTACTTAGGAATACATATAACCAAGGAGGTGAAATATATCTATGAGGAGAACTACAAAACACTGCTAAAAGAAATTACAAACGACACAAAGAAATGAAAAAACATTCCATGCTCATGGATTGGAAGAATCAATATACTTAGCCATACTGCCTGATATGGTATGGCTGTGTCCCCACCCAAATCTCGTGTTGAATTGTAGCTCCCATAATCCTCATGTGTCATGGGAGGGACCCAGTGGGAGGTGATTGAATCATGAGGGTGGGTTTTTCTGTGCCGATCTCATGATAGTGAATAAGTCTCACAAGATCTGATAGTTGTATATAGAGCAGTTACCCTGTACACGTCCTTGCCCACCACCATGTAAGACGTGCCTTTGCTCCTTCACCATCTGCCATGACTGTGAAGCTTCCACACTCATGTGGAACTGTGAGCCCATTAAACCTCATTTTCTTTATAAATTACCCAGTCTCGAGTATGTTTTCATTAGCAACATAAGAACAGACTAATACAGTAAATTGGTACTGGGTAGTGGGACACCTATATAAAGATATTCAAAAATGTGAAAGTGACTTTGAAACTGGGAAACAAAGAGAGGTTGGAACATTTTGGAGGGCTCAGAAGAAGATAAGAAAATATAGGAAAGTTTGGAAATACCTGGAGACTTGGAGGCCTCAGAAGACAGGAAGATTTGGGAAAGTTTGGAACTTCCTAGATACTTGTTGAATGGCTTTGACCAAAATGTGATAGTGATATGGACAATAAAGTCCAGGCTGAGGTGGTCTTAGATGGAGATGAGGAGCTTATTGTGAACTGGTGGGAAGGTGATTCTTGCTGTGCTTTAGCAAAGAGACTGGTGATATATTGCCCCTGCCCTAGGATCTGTGCAAATCTGAACTTGAGATAGATAATTTAGGGTATCTGGCAGAAGAAATTTCTAAGCAATAAAGCATTGAAGATGTGACTTGGCTGCTCTTAAAAGTATTGTTTCATTATTTCACAAAGACATGACTTGGAATTGGAACTTATGTGTAAAAGGGAAGGAGAGCATAAAAGTTCAGAAAATTTGCAGCCTGACAATGTGATAGAAAATTAAAATCCATTTTTCTGAGGAAAAATTCAAACCCACAGCAGAAATTTGCATAAGTAACAAAGAAGCAAATGTCAATCACCAAGACAATGGGGAAGATGTCTCCAGGGCTTTTCTTCATGGCAGTCCTTCCCATCACAAGGCTGGAGGTCTAGGAGGAAAAAAATGTTTTCATGGGCCAGGCCCATGGCCTTACAGCTTTGTGCAGTCTCGTGACTTGGTGCCCTGCCTCCCAGCAGTGGCTTAAAGGGTCAATGTAGAGCTCAGCTGTTGCTTCAAACAGTGCAAGCCCCAAGCCTTGGTGGCTTACAATTTGTGTTGGGCCTATGGGTACACAGAAGTTAAGAATTGAGGTTTGGAAGCATCTGGCTAGATTTCAGAGAATGTATGGAAATGCCTGAATGTCCAGGCAGAAGTTTGCTACACAGACACAGCCCTCATGAACAACCTCTGCTAGGGCAGTGTGGAAGAAAAATGTTGGATGGGAACACCCACACAGAGTCCTGACTGGGGCACTACCTAGTGGAACTGTGAGAAGAGGATTGCCATACTCCAGAACTCAGAATCGTAGATTCACCAACAGTTTGCACTGTAAGCCTGGAAAAGTCACAGACACTCAATGCCAGCCTATGAAAGCAGCCAGGAGGGGGCTCTACCCTGCAAAACCACAGAGGCAGAGCTGCTCAAGACCATGGGTACCCACCTCTTGCATCAGAATGACCTGGCTGTGAGAAGTGGAGTCAAAAAAGATAATTTTAGAACATTAATGTTTAATGACTGCCCTATTGGGTTTTAGACTTGCATGGGGCCTGTAGCCCCTTTGTTTTGGCCAATTTCTCCCATTTGGAACAGTTGCATTTACTCAATTCCTTTACCCTCATTGTATCTAGGAAGTAACTAACTTTCTTTTGATTTAACAGGCTCATAGGTGGAAAGGACTTGCCTTGTCTCAGATAAGACTTTGGACTGTGGACTTCTGAGTTAATGCAGAGATGAGTTGAGATTTTGGGGGACTGTTGGGAAGTCATGATTGTGTTGAAATGTGAGGACATGAGATTTGGGAGGGGTCAGGGATAGAATGATATGGTTTGGCTCTTTCCCCACCCAAATATCATCTTGAAATGTAGCTCCCATAATTCCCCACATGTTGTGGGAGGGACCCCATGGGAGGTGATTGAATCATGGGGCAGATTTACCCCTGCTATTCTCATGATAGTCTTATGAGACTTATGAATAAGTCTTATGAGAGCTTACGGTTTTATAAAGAAAAATTTCCCTGCACACGCTCTAGCCTGCCACCATGTAAGATGTGCCTTTGCTCCTCTTTCACCTTCCGCCATTATTGTAAGGCCTCCCCAGCCATGTGGAACTGCAAGTCAATTAAACCTTACTTTCTTTATAAATTACCCAGTCTTGGGTATGTGATTTTTAGCAGTGTGAGAATTGACTAATACATTGCCTAAATCAATCTGCAGATTCAACACTATTCCTTTTAACCTATCAACTGTGGTTTCCACACAGCTAGAAAAAGCTATTCTAAAATGTTCATGGAACCAAAAAAAAGCCAAAATAGTTAAAGTAATCCTAAGCAAAAATAACAGAGCCAGAAGCATCACACTACTTATCTTCAAACTATATTACAAGGCTACAGTAACCAAAACAGCATTGTACTGGTACATAAACAAACACATAGACCAATGGAACATAATAAATAACCCAGAAAAAAAAGCTAGACACCTACAGCTATCTGATCTTCAGCAAGCTTGACAAAAATAAGCAATGGGGAAAGGATTCTATATTCAATAAATGTTGCTGGGATAGCTGGCTAGCCTTATGCAGAAGAATGAAACTGGACCTCTACATTTCACCTTATACAAAAATTAACTCAAGATGGATTAAATATTTAAATGGAAGACCACAAACTATTATAACCTTAAAGGAAAGTTTAGGAAACACCTTCTAGACATTGGTCTTGGGAAAATTTATGACTAAGTCCTCAAAAGGAATTGCAACAAAATAAACAACTGACAGATGGAACCTTATTGTTCTGAACATCTTCCACAGAGCAAAATAAACTATTCTCAGAGAAAATAGACAGCCTACATTATGGAAGAAAAACATTAACAAATTACTTATCCAACAAAAATCTAATATCAAGAATCTATAAGGAACCAACACAAATCAACAAGCAAAAAACAACTTCATTAAAAAACTACAAGGCTACAGTAATCAAAACAGTATGATCCCAGTACAAAAACAGACCCATGGACTAATGGAACAGAATAGAGAGACCAGAAATAATGCTGCACATCTATGACTATCTGATCTTCAAAAAAATTAACAAAAACAAGCAATGGGGAAAGGACTCCGTATTCAATAAACAGTGCTGGGATAACTGGCTAGCCATATGCAGAAGATTAAAACTGGACCCCTTCCTTACACTAGATATAAAATCAATTCAAGATGGATTAAATAATTAAATATAAAACCTAAAACTATAAAAACCCTGGAAAATAACCTAGGAAACACCTTTCTGGACATAGGCTCAAGCAAAGACTTCATGACAAAGATGTCAAAAACAATTGCAAAAAGAAAAATATCAACAAATGTGTCATAATTAAACTAAAGAGATTCTGCACAGAAAATAAACTATTAACAGAGTAAACACACAACCTACAGAATGGGAGAAAACATCTGCAAACTATGCACATGACAAAGGTGTAATATCTAGCATCTACAAGGAACTTAAACAAATTCACAAGCAAAAAACAAACAACCCTATTAAAAAGTGGGCAAAGGACATGAAAAGAAACTTAAAAAATAAAAATCATATATGCAGCCAGAAAGCATATGAAAAAATGCTCAACATCACTAAACATTAGAGAAATGCCAATCAAAACCACAATGAGATACCATCTTGCACCAGTCAGAATGGCTATTATTAAACAGTCAAAAAACAATAGATGCTGGTGAGGTTACAGAGAGAGGGAGTGCTTATATACTGCTGGTGGGAATGTAAATTAGTCCAATCATTGTGGAAAGCACTGTGGTGATTTATCAAAGAACTTAAAACAGATTAAACGTTCAACCCAGCAATCCCATTACTGGATATTTTCCAAAGGAATGTAAATTTTTCTACCATAAAGACACATGCACATGTATGCTTATCACAACACTATTAACAAGAGTAAAAATATAGAATCATCTAAATGCTCATCAACAGTAGACTGGATAAAGAAAATGTGTCACATGTACACGATGGAATACTACACAGCCATAAAATATAATGAAATTATGTTCATTGCAGTAACATGTATGCAGCTGGAGGCCTTCTGTGAATCAACACAGGGATGGAAAACCAAATACTGTCTGTTCTCACTTATAGAGATGGGAACTAAACAGTGGAACACATTGCTATAAAGATAACAACAATAGAATCTGGATATTACCAGAGGATGAGGACAAGAATTGCAAAACTAAATATTAGGTACTTAGTTCAGTAGGTACTTAAGCTCAGTACCTAGGAGATGAGATCATTTATAACCTAAACCTCAGCAACACACAATATACCCAGGTAACAAACCTGCACATGTCTATTGTCTTTTACTTTTAAAATAACCTAAAATAAAAATAGGAAGAAAACAGGAAAGAAACTGAAAATTCTTTTCTGGAGAAAATTTTATTTCAATTAAAGTCTACATGCTGTAAAGCACAATTCTTGCCTAACCTATGTTTACAGTGGTTTGATCTCTAAGTTGTATCCACACTTAGAATTGGTCTTTTAAAAGTGTTGATATCAGAACTAGCTTTTAAAAATGAAAGTAATTTTACAAGCATTATCTTGCCTGGAAGAAAATCTCCCTCTGGAGAGACTGAACCATTAAAAATATGTTTCTGGTGAGTTATAGAGTGTATTAGGTTTCCCCAGAGGAACAGAACTAATAGGATATATGCATATATGAAAGGGAATTTATTAAAGAAAATTGACTCAAATTATCACAAGGTGAAGTCCCACAAGAGGACACCTGCAAGCTGAGGAGCCAGCAAGCCAGTAGTGGCTCATTCCGAGTTCCAAAGCCTCAAAAGTAGAGAAGCCAACAATGCAGCCTTCATTCTGTTGCAGAAGGCCCAAGAGCTCCTGGCAAACACCACTGGCATAAGTCCAAGTGTCCAAAGGCAGAAGAATCTGGGGTCTGATATTCAAGGGCAGGAAGCATCTAGCATGGGAGAAAGATGAAAGCCAGAAGACTCGGCAAATCAGCTTACCCCACCTTCTTCCACTCGCTTTGTTCTAGCCTTGCTGGCAGCCAATTGGATGGTGCCGACCCACATTGGGGATGAGTATACCTCTCTGAGTCCATTCACCCAAGCATTAATCTCCTCTGGCAACACCTGCACAGACACATCCAGAAATAATACTTGACCAGCTATCTAAGCATCCTTCAATCCAATCTATCTGACACTTAATATTAACCATCACGAGTCCACCCCTTGTCAACTTGAACCAATACACCTCTCCTGAAATCATACTTAGTGCCCAAATAAGTAAAATAATGTGGTCAAAATTAGCCTAGCATAACACATCTATCCTTCATACAACTGGAAGCGAACTAATCTCTAACCTAAATTGTATTACATACATCTAACAACACTTAAATGCTGATATGAAGTCAATAAATCTTATCTCACATGATAAAAGAAAAAGAAAGGAAATAAAATGAAGATATTTTCTTAGTACAACTGTAAACATGCACACACATATTCTTAACAAAATAAGGGAGAAATACTCATGACAATTCCAGTCCCTGTTTTTGCAGCTGTTCACATAGTCATAGCTGGTATTGATAACTATCTTCTTCTACTGACAATTCTGTATTCCCTTTGCCTTCAGCAAGCACCTCACCTGGTCATGGTTTTTTACCTAGTGGAGTGACCCAGACCTTCATTCCTGAAGGGTCTGGGCCATATGTAGTCCTGCCTGGATTGGGTTGTTGTAGTTTCCCATTGACCTTTATCACAGGGAGTGGTTATACTAAGGGATGCCCTAAGATATCTCCTGTATTCCATGGATACTTTTCCTTACCTCCACTGTGAAGTAGTAGACTGGTTTCATCTTGTTAATCGGAGTCAATCACCCCTGCCAACACTGTATTTCCCTTCTTAGCCTGTTGACTTGGAGGTAGGAGGAGCCCAAAGTTTCCAGGTGCCAATCTTGACTTCCAGTTTAATGGAATCATTGTTGTGTCTTCTGGTGGCGGCATTCCTCCCTCTGGACCTAAGACCTCTAGGCAAGCTGAACGCAGGAACAGCAAGGAAAAATTTTGCTAGTGGGTCACTATGGATGATAACGAGTGGTGTCACTTCCACTTCTACCCTTTGATTCCTGAACTTGTGAATCCTGGCTATGGGAAAAACAGTACCATATATTGGACTCTGAGTGAGAGTATACACAGCTTTCTGGAAAACTTTGCCCCAGCCCTACAAACTTTGTCACTTAGTTGGCCTTCATTCCACCATTCTATCAATCCAGCTGCTTCAGGATGATGAGAAACACAGAAATGAAGAGTACAACTTTTAGATCATTCTTTAAACAGAAATAGTAACCAGCATTATTTAATCTACATCTAACATTAGTAAGTCTCTGTCCTAAGAAGATATAGTGTATTTTGATAAATATTTGGCATAATTGTGAAACAAACCAAAGATGTTTGACAAAATTCAACAGCAATTTCTGTTTTTAAAAATAATTTTTCATAATAAAATATAGTATTTACCAATGTAATACAGAATATCTATTTTAAAATAAGAACCAACGTAGTATCTAATGTTAACTTTAACTTGAAACATTGACTCTTATCTTAGTTCATTTTTCCTGCTAGACATACCATAGTCTGGATATCTTATAAGCACCAGAAATTTACTTCTCACAGTTCTGGATGCTGGGAAGTCCACGATCAAGATGTCTCCAAATTTGGTGTCTGGTGAGGGCCTGCCTTCTTATTCATAGGCAGAAACTTCTCTCTCTCTCCTCACATGGCAAAAAGGGGCATGGGGTCTCTCTTCGGACTCTTTTGTCAGGATAGTAATACCATTCAGGAGGGCTCCACCCTCATGACCTTATCAACTCCCAAAGGCCCCACCTCCTAACACCATCACCTTGGGGATGAGAATTTCAATTTATGAATTTTGGGGGGAACACAAATATTGAGACCATAGCAGCTCTCAACAAAGACTGTTATATTTTAACTGTGTTAAAAATACAATATTAATTGTTTTTGAAAACTAAAAGGCAATCAAGAATGGTAGAGAATAAGTAGAAAATTGTAGAGAATGGTAGTAAAACAATAGATAATGATATAAATTGAAAAGTAAAAATCTCATAATATCCTGCCACCACAGCCTATACACACCCATACATACAAACATTAAATCATATCTACCAGTGGCCACTACTGTTTACAGTTTGGATTGGGTTAGATCTCACCAGATCTTTTCGCCTTCCTTTTTTCCTTCATTCCTTCCTTTCAGTTATATAAAGATATGCCTATGTTTTTAGGTACACATAAACTTATTCAATATACATATACATAAAATTGACATTATACTTTATACACTGACATAGTATGTATATTTTTATCCAAATCAGCTCATATTGCACTTGTTTTTCTACAAAATATTTTTGCATCTAACAATATAGTAAAGGCAAGATTGCATATCAATACATAAAGATATTGCTCATTTTTTCATATTCATTTGCTTATTCATCAAAAATGGTTATTGAACATCAGTGTATTTTATTCTGTTTGTAAGGTACTGGAGATACGGCAGTGAACAAAACAGAAAATGAACACAGTGATTGAAAGTTTGTTATTTTATAAAAAGAAATAGAGAAATCCTAATGGTGCTTTTAGAGAAAAAGAAAACTGAGGGCGTGAAAATGTGGATATCAGGGAGAAGAACTCGTGGTGGAGGGACACATGATCAAAACCCAAGGATCAGGAGAGCTGAGGCACAACAGGCATGGGGGAGACTAGTACAAGGTAAGAACAGAGAGATAGAGATGTCTCCAAATTTGGTGTCTGGTGAGGGCCTGCTTTCTGATTCATAGACAGAAGCTTCTCCCTGTGTGTCCTCACATGGCAAAACGGGCACAGGGTCTCTCTTGGACCTCTTTTGTAAGGATAGTAATTCCATTCGGGATTTCAGCCTTTTTGAGTTATAGATCATTTCAGCCATTTTGATTCATAGTAAGGGTGTTGGATGTTATGCTGAGTGACATGAAATACCACTGGAAGATTTCAGCAGAGTGAAGCTCTGATATGGATGCTATTTTGACAATAGACCCCAGGAATGCAAGATTAGAAATAAGAAGATAAGGTTATAGGAGCTTTTGGAATAACAAGAAAAGTTGTGATAATAAATTGGACTAGAGTAAAAGCGTTGGATATAATAAAAATTGTTCAGTTATTGAGGGATGTCAAAATTGACAGCTGACAGGATTTGTGGAGATCTTGAATGTGGGTTCTGAGAGAAAAATAAGAGTAAAATATCAAACTTTTTTAATGGATGTTAATTCTATTCAACTCATCTTTAGCCTAAATTGATAAATAGCCATATTTTTGTTTATTTTTATTATGATGACAAATTTTATTGAGAAATATTAATATTGAATAATAGTTACAGTTCTCAAATATGGAGAAGGGAGATTGGTCTGTACTGTAGTTTTCTGTGACAGAGAAATAGCATTGCAGTTCTGTGGTCATTAGTTTGATGGAGACCTAAAATGTATTTCAAAGACCTTTTATTGTTCTTATTCTCTGTGATCTGACATTTGAAATAGCATTGGAGTGATGAGTTACTTACAGTTTTGGTGGAAGTTAAAAATGAAATTGAAGAATTTATACTTTCTATGAAAGGGAACTTTTGAAAGTTTTGTTTCTATTTCTCCTATAAGAAAAATTCATTTAAGTCTATTGCTTCTTTGTTTAATTGTCTCTGTATATATTTTCTAGAAAACCTCCTTTATAAATATATTCATATAAAACTATGCAAAGTTATGTTTTAAAATTTGTTTTAAAACTTTCACTGAATATTATTTCTCCAATATTAGTTCACTGGTATATACATGTTTCTCTTTTTCTTATTAAATGAGCTAATATTATAGCTATATGTTAGAACATTCAAAGACCAAATTCTTGAGCTTATTTTGTTGTTACCATTTTTCTGTTTTCATATCCTATCCATTGTTTTCTAACTTAGTGATTTATCTCTCTTGTTTTTCTTAGATTTATTGTGTTTTTCATTCTAAACTTTCTTTGACCTTAGATTATATAACTCCACTGTTTTGAAGTATCTGTCATTGCAGTAGAGAATTCTTATTCCTGATGTTCTTCCCTCTTTATGTACAAATGCTAAAAATATCAGAATGGCACAGGCACCAATTAATCAGAAAAGGCACTTGTACAATCAAAATGAGGTTTCCTGGTGTGTGGTAGTGGATTATGAGCACTGTTTATGGCTGCTTTGGATAACTTGAAGTCCAAGAAATTTTGTGAAGACTTGTCTCAAGGTTATAAAATCCATATATTTTACACTATAAGATGAACTCTTTCAACATATTGATTAACATCAAAAGCTGTTTGAATATTTTACAGAAACATTTGTTTTATTTCTTCTTAACTTGGATTAATTAGAAATGTACATTCATCTTTATTTGTCCTCCGTATTTATTATTTTTCAATGTTTTATCACAATTTGATAATTTATTTTAATTTTTTATGACTTACTATGTTTTTAGCAAAACTCATTATATGTGTGTATATATATGTGTGTGTATATATGTGTGTATGTATGTGTATACATATACAAACATATATATACATATGTGTGTATACATACTATATTAATACACACGTACACACATATATGTATATATACATATATAAACTACACACACATATACACACATATATCTGTGTATATATACACATATATATAAGTTAAACTATATGTTTACTATTGCTAGAAATGTTGCTATTTCTTTATTGGTTTTATTTTATTTTTAATTTATTTTCTGATTTTCTTCACCTAAGAGTCTGCTTCATCTGTTAGCCTATTATATCTTCCCTGAGCTCTTATATCTGTGCTTTGAATTTGGTAATATTTGAATAAAATCTTCAATTTCAAAGCTGTATATTTTAATTTTGGCTTGCAATTTATTTAGTATTGTATTTTATGCAAAGCTTTCTTCACCATCAATTTGATTGTATTGTTTCTTTTTTCTTTCTAAATCATGCTTTATAATTTACATGATTATGGAATGGTTCTTTTTGGTTTATTGATACTTTTTTGAATTTGCAATTGAGACATCCTAATTGCACATATTTATGAGGTATCGTGAAGTTTTGACACATGTATACATTGTATAATAATAAAATAAGGGTAATTACCATATCCATCACCTGAAACATTTATCATTTCTCTTAACAAGAACATTCAAAAACCTCTCCTAGGTATTTTGAAATATGCAATACATTATTGTTAACTCTATTCTATTGTGAAATAGAACACCATGACTTATTCCTCCCATCTAACCATAGCTTTGTACCTATTGACCAATCTTTCTCCTCCTCCACCCACCCTCCTTACCCTCTGGTAATCATTACTTTACTCTCTACTTCTATGAGAACAACTTTTTAGATTGCATATATGAGTGAGATCATGTGGTATTTGTCTTTCTGTGCCTAGCTTATTTCGCTTAGCATAATGTCCTCCGAGTTTGTGCATATTGCCACAAATGACAGGATTTTAGAATTTCTTGTGGCTGAATAGTAGTCTATTGTGTATATGTGTAGACATACACCACATCACATTTTCTTTATCCACTTATCGGTTGATGAACAAGTTGATTGCAGATCTTGGTTATTGTGAATAGTGCTGCAGTAAACATGAATACAAATACCCTCTTGACACACTGATTTCATTTCCTTTGGACATATACTCAGTAGTTAAATTGCTGGGAACATACAGTAGTTCTATTTTTAATCTTTTGTGGAAACTCCTCGCTATTTTCCAGAATGACTGTACTAATTTACAGTCCAACCATTGCTGTGTAATGACTCCCTTTTCTCCACACCCTTGCCAACACTTGCTATCTTTTGATTTTTCATGATAGCCATTCTAACAGGAGTAAGGTTACACTCTTTTATAGTTTTGACTTGCATTTCCTTTATAATTAATGATGTTGAGAATTTTTCAAGCATCATTTGGCTACAATTTTATACTTTTGAGAAATGTCTATTCAGATATTTTGTTCATATTTTCCATATTTTATTAGGGTTATTTGTTTTCTTGTTGTAGAGTTGTTGGACTTGATTTCTTTATGCATTTGACTCTTGCACAACATGGTGGCTAGGGAAGCCAAAACCCAGCACATGTATGACTTTTGATGCCCCCAAAACTTAACTACTAATAGCCCATTGTTGACTGAAAGCCTTTCTAATAACATAAAGAGTTAGCACATATTTTATATGTTATATGTATTATATGCTGAATTTCATAATAAAACAAGCTCCAAAAAGAAAATATTATTAAGAAAATTATAAGGAAGAAAAAATGTATGTACTATGCTTTAAAAGGAAGTAGACCACCAAAAATTATTCATTCTCCTTGTGTTCGCATCGAGTAGGCTAAGCAGGAGAAGGATGATGAGAGGTTGTTGGTTTTGTTGTATCAGAGGTGACAGAAGTAGAAGAAAAAATCCACGTCTAAGTGTATGTGTAGTACGAGCCCATTTTATTTGAGAATCGAATGTATATTTTGGATGTTAACCTGTTAATAGAGGTATAATTTGCAAATATGTTCTCTCATTCTATGGGTTGTGTCTTCGTCCTGGTGATTTTTCCCTCTGCTGTGCAGAATCTTTGCAGTTTGATGTAATCCTATTTGTCTGTATTTGTCATTGTTGCCTGTGGTTTAGTGGTTTTGTCCAAAAACATCTTTGCCTGCACTAATGTCATGGAGCTTCTCCCTTATGTTTTCTTCTAGCCGTTTTGTAGTTTAGATTCCCACATTTAAATCTTTATTTTATTTTGAGTTACTTTTTGTGTATGATAAGAGTAAAGGTCTAATTTCGTACTTCTGCATGTTAATATCCAGTTTTCCCAGCATCATTATTGAAGAGTATGTCTTTTCCCTGCTGTGTGTACTTGGAAACTTTGTTGAAAATCAGTTGGCTGTAGATGCATGGATTTATTTCTGGGCTTTCTGTTATTTTCCATTGCTCTTTGTATCTATTTTATGCCAGTACCATGTTGTTTTGATTACTACAGCTTTCTATTATATTTTGATGTCAGGAATGGTGATACCTCCATGGGGGTTTTATTTTTGTTTTTGTTTTTCTCAAGATTGCCATGACTGTTAGATCTTTCACAGTTTTATACAAATTTTAGGGTTGTTCTGTTTACTTCCTTGAAGAATGCAACTGGTATTTTGATAGAGATTGCATTACATTTGTAGATCACTTTGGGTAAATGGATATTTTAACAACATTAATTTTGCCAGTCAATTAACATGGGATGTCTTTCCCTTTTTGTATTTTTTCAATTTCATTCATTAATGTCTTATAGTTTTTATTGTACAAATATTTCGCTTCCTTGGCTAAATATTTTTAGTCTTTTTTTGTAGCTATTGTAAAGGAAATTATTGTCTTTAAATCTTTTTCAGATATTACACTATTGATTTATAGAAATACTGCTGATATTTGCATATTGATTTCATATCCTCTAACTTTACTGAATTTTTCTATTAATTTTAATAGTTCTTGGTATAATATTTGGGGTATTCTATATATAAGATTATGCCATCTGAAAGCAAGAACAATTTGACTTCCTCCTTTTCTATTTCATTGCCTTATTACTCTGGTCAAGACTTCCAGGACTATGTTGAATAGTCTTGTTCCAGATGTTAAAAAGGAAGTTTTCAGCTTTTCTTAGTTCATTGTGATATTAGGTGTGATTTTGTTATACAAGGTCTTTATTATTTTGAAGGTCTATCCCTTCTATATCTAATTTGTTGAGAGTTTTTATTATGAAAGAATGTTGAATTTTATCAAAATTTTCTGTGTGTATTGTAATGATCATATAATTTTGTCCTTTATTCTGTTGATGTGATGTATCACATTTATTGATTTGCATATGTTGAACCATTAGTGCATCTCTGGTACAAATTTCACTTGATTATGGTGAGTAATGCTTTTGATATACTGTTGGATTTGGTTTGATAGTATTTTGTTGAGAATTTTTCCTCAGGGATATTGGTCTGTAGTTTTCTGTTTTTGTTGTGTCTTTATCTGGTTTTGCTAGCAAAGTAATGCTGGCCTCATAGAATGAGCTCGGAAAAATTCCCTCCTATTCAATTTATGGAAGAATTTGAGAAGCACTGGAAGTGAAGCAGTGAAGCCATCTGGTCATGAACATTTCTTGGATAAGTGACATGGTTTTGTTGTGTCCCCACCTAAATCTCATCTTGAGTTCCCACTTGCTGTGGAAGGGACCTGGTGAGAGGTAATTGAATCATGGGGGCAAGTCTTTCCCATGCTGTTCTCGTGATAGTGAATAAGTCTCACGAGATCTGATTGTTTTAAAAAGAAGGGCTCCCCTGCACAAGCTCTCTCTCTTTGCCTGCTGCCATCCATGTAAGACTTGACTTGCTCCTCCTTGCCTTCTGCCATGATTGTGAGGCTTCCCCAGCCACATGGAACTGTGAGTTCAATTAAACCTCTTTCTTTTGTAATTTGCCTGGTCTCGGATATGTCTTTATCAGCAGCATGAAAACAAACTGATACAATTAGAGACTCTATTATTGATTCACTGCCATTATTCATTATTAGTCTGTTCAGGTTTCCTGTTTCTTCATTATTTAATCTTGGTAAGTTTTATGTGTCCAGGGATTTATCTATTTTTTGGTCATTCAGTTGTTTTGGTGTACAGTTGTTAATAATGGTACCTAATGATACTTTGTGTCTCTGTAGTATCTAATGTAATGTCTTCTTTTTTGTCTCTGATTTCATTTATTTGGGTCTTCTCTCTTTTTTCTTGCTTAGCTGAGCCAAAACTTTGTCAATTTTGTTGTCCATTCAAAAACCAACTATTAGCTTGATTGATTGTATACATTTTATATCCATTTTATTTATTTTTCCTTCTACTAATTTTGGGTTTGATTTCTTTTTGTTTTTCTAGTTCTTTGAGGTACACTATTAGATTGTTTATTTGAGATCTTCCTTTTTTTTTTTTTTCTGATTTTGTCATTAATGGCTAATAACTTTCCTCCTAGTACTGCTTTGGCTGTATCTCATTGGTTATTTTATGTTGCATTTCCATTATTATATGTCTCAAGAAATTTTTAAATTTTCTTTTTAATTTCTTCACTGAACCACTTGTTGTTTAGGAGTGTATTGTATTTCTCAATTTTCATGTATATATATATATACATATATATATACATATATATATACATATATATATAGTGTCCTGAGATTTTTTTTATTATTGATTTCTAGTTTTATTGCATTGTGGTGAGAAAAAAAATATTGGATATTAAATCAAATTTTTGAAAATGTTTGAGATGTGCTTTGTGGCCTACCATATGATTTCTCCTGAAGAATGTTCTGTGTGCTGTTCAGAATAATATATATTCTGCAGCTGTTGGTTGGAATATTCTGTAGATATCTATTAGGTTAATTGGATCTAAAATGCAGTCTAACTCTACTGTATCTCTGTTGATTTCCTATCTAGATAATTTGTCCATTACTGAAAGTGGGGTGTCCCCTACCATTTGCTTTATATATTTAGGTGTTCTGATGTTGGGTGCATATATATTTACAATTACTATATTATCTTGTTGAACTGACCCTTTGATAGTTATACAATGACCTTATCTTATATTATATTATATATATTATAATATTATATTATATTATATTATCTTGTTGAATTGACCCTTTGATAGTTATACAATGACCTTCTTTGTCTCTTTTAACTGCTTTAGATTTAAAGTTTATTTTTTTGAGTTCAGGCACAGTGACTTACACCTATGATTGCACTTTGGGAGACTGAGGTGAGAGGATCATTTGAGCAGAAGAGGTTGAGACTAGCCTGGGCAACATAGAGAGATCTTGTCTCTACTAAAAACATAAAAATTAGTCAGGCTTAGTGGAGTGTGACTGTATTTTTAGCTACTCAAGAGGCTGATGATGTGGGAGGATAACTTTAGCCCAGGAGTTCATGGTTGCAGTGAGTCATTATTACGTCACTGCGCTCCAGCCTGAATGACAGAACAAAACCCTGGCTCAAAAAAGAAAGTCTATTTTATGTGATATTAGTATGACATATACTACTCTTTCACTTTACATTTGCATGGACTATCTTTTCTCATCTGTTGGCTTTGTCAATATGTTTCTTTAAAGATGAGATGAGTTTCTTGTTACCAACATAGGTTTGAATCTTCTTTTTTAATCTATTAAGTCACTCTCTCTTTTAAATAGATAATTTAATCCACTTCTGTTTAACTATCAGTAAGCAAGGCTTTACTACAGGGATTTCTTACTTGATTTTTAGGACATTTTTGTAGTTTTTTTTTTTCCTATTTTCGTTGTCTTACTTAAAGTATAATAAAAAAATTAAAAATAAGTAAATAAATAAATAAAAACGATTGGTAACCTTTGATCTTAGTCTACCTGGATACTTTTATTTTTCTCTATTGGTTTTGCAAAGTTTTCTGATACTGCCTATTTGAATAATCTTTCCAGACCTTTGGAATTCCTCAGTCCCTCTTTAACCCCGATAACCTGAGTATTTACTCCTGATGTTGTCTCATAGTTCCCATAAGCGTTCTTTGTTCCTTTGAATTTTCTTTTATTTTTCCCCTGGCTGTGTATTTTCAAACAGCCTATCTTTGAGCTCACCATTTTTTCTACTGTTTAATTGATTCTACTGTTGATTCCCCCACTATTGCATTTTTTAATTTTTTATTGTAGTTTTCAGCTCCAAGGTTTCTGTTTGATTATTTCAATCTCTTTGTTAAGTTTCTCTGATAAACCACTGAATTGTTTCTTTGTGTTTTCTTGAAGTTTGGTGATTTTCCTTAAAAGAGGTATTTTTATTTCTTTTCCTGGCAGATCATACATATTGATTGCTTTAGGGTGGATCTTTTGTGCATCATTTTATTCAGTAAACTCATAGTTCTCTCAATGGTCTTAATGATTGTGGTTGAACAACAACATCTGTGAACTGGAGAATTAGGTATTTGTTTCAGTTCTCACAGTCTGGCTTTTTTTTATGCCTGTCTTTTCAGAAATTGTAAGCAGGGTGCTTATTATTTTCTCTGAGCCCCTGGTCACTCCTGCTGGTTTAGTACAAGATGACATCCTAAGTCCCTAAAGAATGTTGTCTATCCTGCTTGGTCTGAGTTTCCATCTGAGGTCAGTGCAGGTCCAGAGGGTTTACCCATGGTCTCTGGTTTGTACTCAGGTGCTGAAGATCTCTGTCTGGTGCTGGGCTTTCCCATGTAGTCCAGGCTTTAAACTCCAAGGCAAGATTTTGTGCCACTCATTCTCCCATGTGAACAATGTCTCTTTCTTTGCTATTCTGACTGGGGTTGGAGAAGAATGGGGTGGGCATTCTCATGGCTGCCACAACCACTATAATGCTAGGCCCACCTGAATCCCACAGTTACTGAGACCAAAGCAGCACAGAGTAATGTTCAAGGCCCATGTTGTCACCAAATGCCTGATGCTGAGGTTTATTTGTGGTTTGAGACTGCAGCAGATGGCCAGCAGTAATGTGAGCCAGAAAGAGTCTATTTCAACAAGGCCACCATTCTCTACCTGGAACTGAGGCAGGGATAGGATTTCTGTCCACAGACATGTGTCTTGGGTCAGGAGCTGGCAGCTTCTGCCTGGTGTTGGATTTCATTGTGATTGGCCTGGCACTGAGTTCAAATCAAAGTCCTGCACTCACTTTCTTCTCTTTCCCCCAAGTGGAATGGGTCTTTCTCATTGCTGTGCTGTTTGGAGTGGGGCAAGCAATGATCCATGCAAGATAGCTTTGTCCCTTCTACCTTCTTCAACGTGACTTTTCTTATAATTATGCCAATACCAGGTACTGTGATCTCTTAGCTGTTTCTGAGGCTCTGGTGAAGATAGTTTTATTCATGGATAGTTGTTAAAATTGATGTTTCTATAAGGAAATGAACACTGAAAGGTCTTATTCTGTCATTTTGCTTTTCCTCTTCACCAATATTTTAAAAATAAGGCAGTTTCTATCTGTTCAGCTACTGGCAGGTATTTCTTATGGGGATTGGAATACAGAGATCTACACTAGCAGGAATTTTTCCTCAATCATAATATGTGGTTTATGTCATTGTGTGATTGTGGTAATAGTGGTGTGCATGTGTGTGCGTGCATGTGTGAGTGTGTGTGAGAGAGATAAAAAGATATTTTTAACTTTACTTCTTCTAAGTTAGCAGATATTTGGAGCTACAGATTGAATACCACTCATAATTACATGCTTTAGCGTGTCTTTACCTTCAAATTGCTTTCTGCAAAAATGATACCATTATGGATTTTCAGAACACTTACAAATTCTATTATTATAATTATTATTTACAAAATATGACTTTTATAATTTTTTACATGCATTGATCCAATTGATTACAAGATTGTGGAATATCTTTTAAAATATTATGAAGTAATTTTTAAATGAACTTTCCATTTCTTTTGAATTATCAGCTTTCTCTCTGGTCATATTTTTGGCTTCTTTGTTTCAGGTTTACCATTTTATTCTGTAGCTTTTATAAACACAAAGTCAAACAAAGTCATTCTCAACTCCTTTCTCCTTTACTTTCCTGCTACATGGATTCTAGAAAGTGAAAGTATTTGACGTCTAAGCATTCCTTTCAGCTAGCACTGGCCACATATCACAGATCTTGCCATGTGATGTAGGAAGAAATCTCTGTGGGAGCCTTTTCTAGATGATTAAAAGAAACTAGGCACCTTTTTCCCCATTCTTTCTTTCTGCCTGGACAACAACTGTTGTTCCTGAAGCTGCATTGCCACCATGAGGCCACAAGGGAAAAGTGTAAAATGACAAGTACTTTAGAAAAAATACAGCATTCTGAGTCCTTAATAACACGCTTAGAAAACCGTACCTTCCTGAAAGAACTGTCTTCTTACGTTGTTTTCTGTGACTAAAAATAATTCTGTCTGTATTATGTTGGTGATTGATGGATTTTCTGTGACCTGAAGTTATAGAGGGGGTTTACTGTTTTATGCACAAAATTTTCTGGGAAACAACTCTATTTTCAGCTCTAAATACTTTTCCAGCCTAAAAATTAACCACCCTTGTACATGTTTTGTGTTCTTCCGGGTACCTGGTACTGCTTATTGATCATAGCTTCCTCTCTTTGAATATATTCTGGGTCAGTATTTCTTCCACTCTGTTCTTAAAACTTTGTTTTTTTAACATTACTTAAAATAATGTGTTAAAGTACCATCTCTAGTGGGCTCATTTTTATTATGTTTGCTGCTCATATACATATGTGTGTGTGTGTGTGTGTGTGTGTGTGTGTGTTCCAATAACACCTTATTGCTCCCTATTTTTTTGATCCATATTTCTACATGGTATCATTTGTTACTGTATGATGGATTTCCTTTGACATTTCACATAATGTTAGTCTGCTGAAAGAGTATTATTTTAGCATCCTATATTTTAAAGATGTTGATTTTGTTGTTGAACGATCTTTTTACTGAGTATAGAATTCTAGATTGATAAGTGTTTTTTTTAAATATTTTTCTCCACTCTCTTATTGCTTTCATTGTTTTGAAAAAGAATTCGGCTGTCAGCCTTATCTTTGTTTCCCTTTATGTAATGTGTCCATCTTCTCTGGCTGTTTTTAAGGCAATCTATCAATAATTTTGAGCAATTTGATTATTTTGTATCATGGTGTAGTTTTTTAAAAACATTTTTGTACTTGGTTTTGATGAACTTCATGGATCAGTGCATATATAGTTTTTCTCCACTTTTGAAATATTTTCACTATTATTTATTCCAGTAAATTTTCTGATTAAATGAAAACTAATTACATATATGTAGATTTGTTTGAAGTTGTCTCATAACTAAGTGATGCTGTGTTCTTGCTTTGTTTTCTTTGATTCTTAAAAAAGTCTTTATCCTTATTTTTGAATAATTTCTATTAGTATATCTTCATGTTTAGTATTAATATACTTTATAAAAATTCTACTTTATTTTATGGGACTTTAAGAAGAGAGGCTATACTTTCAGCAGTCCTGAAACTAAAATGTCCCTGATAATAATTGATTTTTGCTAATTCCATTGTAATAAAATATGGATAGGAGAAGGAGATAATAGAAAACTTTCTGTACTTTCTACCCATTTTTTCGGTAAATGTGAACTTCTTTTATAAAAGTCTGTTAAGTAAAAACAGGTGCTCATACAAAGCAGTAAAAGTAGAATGCCACCCAAGTATCCTTTTGTTGAAGACAATCATTTCTTATGTTATTTAGAAAATAGATATAGAAAACTGTCTGTAATTTCTGCCTTTATTTCATAAACATAAAACTTCTTTTAAAAATTATGTTAATTTAAAAAGTCATATGAAATGGTAACTTCCAATTTTATCGAAAGCAGAATGTTAATTATACTTTGTTCATGACAATAATTTATGTTATTTATTTTTCTTTTTCAAAATCCTATAAAACATTAATATGTAAATAGTAATAATCAGGAAATATATTTTCAACAGTCCAGGCTCTTTAAATTTATAAAAGATATGTGGCAAAGTATATTATCTGGAAGGGCAATCAGCAAGAATTGGGTGAGAAGATAGGTGTCTTAGGGAATAGGTACGCATATTAGAAACATAAGGACAGTTTGCAAATTCTTCATATCAAACAAAGCAACACAGGGTGAAAAATGCCAAAGACAGTGAAAGTCAAAGATAGGTTTGAAAAGAGACTGAGAAAAGGGATCAACTATAAATAGTAGATTACACAAATTTGGCATTAGAAGAGACAAGTTGATAATTGGGGCCTTAATGAGTTGTCAGATAAGCTGTTTTTTTTTCCAATTACAAGGTTATAATAGCTATAATAGAGAAGAGAAAGATAACAATTCTAATAGCAGTCACTTATATAGTATTTCCCATATGATGAGTACTATTATAGTTAAATACTATATATAAATTATCATAACACTGCCATGATAAATATGCTACAATAATTCTCACTTCACTGAGAAAATACAAAAGCATTAAGGGCTTAAATAAGTTGCTTAAGTCAACACATGTAGTAAGTAGCAGAAGTGGAATTTAAGTCTAAGCAAGCTAGCAATATTATTTAACACAAATTCATTGAATTCAAATCAAAATATTATAAAAGGAACTTGCTCAATCTAGTGAATATTAGAAAGTAAATACTAGCTTTGGCTGAAAAGTAAAAAAATTGCCTTTCCATTAATCAGGCTGGAATTACAGAGGCAAAATATTTAAATAGGCTTTCACAAAAGAGGGCATCTAAATGACCATAAACATGAAAATATAGTCATCAGGGAAAGTGTAAATGTAAAAATGAAAAAAATATACAACATCAAGCATTGACAAGCATGTGAAGCAGCAGAGTATCCCATAGATCACTGTTTGGTGTACATGTTGGTAGAACCACTATGGAAAATGGGTAGTACCTACCATAGCTAAACATAGCAATCACAATTGCCAACCGTTATAGTCATAAGTATATAGCAAATAGAAATCTTTACATAGATTTATCAAAAGAACAATAATATTTTTAAAATTATGATTTGTAAATAGTCTAAATTAGAAAGAAATTGAATGGACCAATGAATTGAGGTAGACTCATACGATGGAATACTATGTGGTACAGAAATAAAAAAAAATGTATGCTACACACACTACCAAACATAACTTTCACAAGCATAATATTGAGTGAAAAAAAATCAGATACATAAGAATACAGAAATTTGTTTTTCTTTTATATAAAACTACAATACAAAGGGAGTGCAGTGTACTAGCAATGTTCTCTTTCTTGATCTGGGGCTTGTGGACAGGATATGTTCATTTTGCAAAAATTGACCAAGATACAGACTTATAATTTGTGCAAATATTTTCTATTTATTACACTTTAATTAAAATGTATTTAAAAATAAAAAGCAAAGATAAAATTGTATGAGAATTAAAAATGTTCTCTTATTAGAACACTTTTAATGGGAATACAATATAAAATTAAAGAATAAATGATACTACTATCATTTGAAGTACACTGTACAATGTCCTTCATGAGCAAAATGATAACTTGACAAAATTAAAAGTCACTAAGTGTATGAAAGTACAGCATAGTTTATAAATAATATTATGAAATATACACTTGGATGAATATTTATTATTTTTCTCTTGTAGATGGTAACATTGCCATGAACAAGATTCATTGCGTTAATCAAATACAAATACATGTGATGAATACACAATTTTAAGTCAGAACTTGCACACACACACAAACATATACCTCAATTAAATGGTGTGGCATTGAAGATAATTTAAATAAGAAGATAATGAAGCAAATCTCTTTAAAAAGTAGAAGAAGTTATTCTGAAAGAATTATGAGTTTATTTTAATTAAGAAAAGTGTTTTCCATATTAATAAAAATTTTATTATGTGCAATTCAAAACGTTATACATAAATTACCCAAAAGCAATGGGAAAGGGGGAGATTATGCTTTTCAGTATTTCTTTGTCCTAGGACTTAAAAAATATATTTTAATCTGTTTAATATCTCCCTGATCTTAATTTATAAAGTACCTAAACACCATGAGTCTTTCATATCTAGAAGAATAACAAAACAGTCTTTGGAAGGCTACAGTAACCAAAACAGCATGGTACTGGTACCAAAACAGAGATATAGATCAATGGAACAGAACAGAGCCCTCAGAAATAATGCCGCATATCTACAACTATCTGATCTTTGATAAACCTGAGAAAAATAAGCAATAGGGAAAGGATTCCCTATTTAATAAATGGTGCTGGGAAAACTGGCTAGCCATATGGAGAAAGCTGAAACTGGATCCCTTCCTTACACCTTATACAAAAATTAATTCAAGATGGATTAAAAACTTAAACATTAGACCTAAAACCATAAAAACCCTAGAAGAAAACCTAGGCATTACCATTCAAGAGATAGGCATGGGCAAGGACTTCATGTCTAAAACACCAAAAGCAATGGCAACAAAAGCCAAAATTGACAAATGGGATCTAATTAAACTCAAGAGCTTCTGCACAGCAAAAGAAACGACCATCAGAGTGAACAGGCAACCTACAAAATGGGAGAAAATTTTCACAACCTACTCATCTGACAAAGGGCTAATATCCAGAATCTACAATGAACTCAAACAAATTTACAAGAAAAAAACAAACGACCCCATCAAAAAGTGGGCAAAGGATATGAACAGACACTTCTCAAAAGAAGACATTTATGCAGCCAAAAGACACATGAAAAAATGCTCATCATCACTCGCCATCAGAGAAATCAAAACCACAATGAGATATCATCTCACACCAGTTAGAATGGCAATCATTAAAAAGTCAGGAAATAACAGGTGCTGGAGAGGATGTGGAGAAATAGGAACACTTTTACACTGTTGGTGGGACTGTAAACTAGTTCAACCATTGTGGAAGTCAGTGTGGCAATTCCTCAGGGATCTAGAACTAGAAATACCATTTGACCCAGCCATCCCATTACTGGGTATATACCCAAAGGACTATAAATCATGCTGCTATAAAGACACATGCACACGTATGTTTATTGCAGAACTATTCACAATAGCAAAGACTTGGAACCAACCTAAATGTCCAACAATGATAGACTGGATTAAGAAAATGTGGCACATATACACCATGAAATACAATGCGCCATAAAAAATGGTGAGTTCATGTCCTTTGTAGGGACATGGATGAAATTGGAAATCATCATTCTCAGTAAACTATCGCAAGGACAAAAAAACCAAACACCGCATGTTCTCACTCATAGATAGGAATTGAACAATGAGAACACATGGACACAGGAAGGGGAACATCACACTCTGGGGACTGTTGTGGGGTGGGGGGAGGGGGGAGGGATAGCATTAGGAGATATACCTAATGCTAGATGACAAGTTAGTGGGTGCAGCGCACCAGCATGGCACATGTATACATATGTAACTAACCTGCACATTGTGCACATGTACCCTAAAACTTAAAGTATAATAATAATAAAAAAATAAAAAAATAAAAAATAAACAAAAAAACTTTTATAATCTGAATGCCAATTGCACTATATTATACAAAGATAATTCAGATCAAGAGCCAGCCAACTTTTTTCTGTAAAGGGCTAGTTAGTAAAGATTTTAGGTTTTGCTGGTCATACTGTTACAGTATATCAGTCCCTTCTCACACCACTATGAAGAAATACTCAAGACTCGATAATTTATAAAAGAAAGGTTTAATTCACTCACAATTCCACATTGCTGGGAGGCCTCAGGAAACTTTCAATTATGGCAGAAGGCAAAGGAAAAACAGGAACATTCTTCACATGGCAGCAGGATGGAGTGAGTGCAAGCAGGGGAAATGTCAGATGCAATAAAATGATCAGATCACATGAGACTCACTCATTATCACGAGGAGAAGTTGGGCACAAGCACCCCATGATTTAATTACCCTACTGGGTCCCTCCCTTAACATGTGGGGATTATGATAATTACAACTCAAGGTGAGATTTAGGTGGTGACACAGAGTCAAACAATATCATTCCACTCCTGGCCCCTCCCAAATCCCATGTCCTCACATTATAAAACACAATCATACCCTTCCAACAGTCTTCCAAAGTCTTAAACTCATTCCAGCACTAACCCAAAAGTCCAACTTCAAAGTCTAATTTGAGAAAAAATTAATACCTTCCACCTATGAGCCTGTAAAATCAAAAGCAAGTTAGTTACTTCCTAGATACAATGAGGTACAGACATTGGGTAAGTACACCCATTCCAAATGGGAGAAACTGGCCAAAACACTGGGGCTATAGGCCCTATGCAAGTCTGAAATCCAATAGGGCAGTCATTAAACCTTAAAGTTCCAAAATGATTTCCTTTGACTCCGTGTCTCACATCCAGGTCATGGTGAAGCAAGAGATGGGCTCCCATGGTCTTGAGCAGCACTACACCTGTGGCTTGGCAGGATACAACACCCCTCCTGACTGCTCTCATGGGTGGCATAGAGTGTCTGTGGCTGCTCCAGGTACATGATGCAAGCCATCAGTGAATTTAATATTTTGGGTTCTGAAGGATGGTGGTCCTCTTCTCACAGCTTCACTAGGCAGTTCCCCAGTTGAAACTCTGTGTGGGATCCCAACCCCACACTTCCCTTCTGCACTGCCCATCAGAAGTTCATGAGGGCTCCACCTCTACTGCAAACTTCTGCCTGGACATCCAGGCACTTCCATACATCCTCTGCAATCTAGACAGGGGTTCTCCAATCTCAATTCTTGACTTCTGTGCACCCACAGGCCCAACACCATGGGTATGCTACCAAGGCTTGGGACTTGCACCCTCTGAAGCAATGGTCCAAGCTGTACCTTGGCCCCTTTTAGCCATGGCTGGAGCTGAAGTAGCTGGGATGCTGGACACAATGTCCCCAGGTTGCATAGAGCAGGGGGGCCCTGAGCCCAGCCCATGAAACAATTTTTCCCCTTTAGGCTTCTGGGCCTGTGATGGGAGGGGCTGCCATGAAGTTCTTTGAAATGCCCTGGAGAAATTTTCCCCATTGTCTTGCTGATTAACACTTGACACCTCGTTACTTATGCATATTATTTCTGTGGTGGGCTTGAATTTCTCCCCAGAAAATGAGTTTTTATTTTCTATATCATAATTAGGCTACACATTTTCCAAGCCTTTATGCTCTGCTTCCTATTGAATGCTTTGCCATTTAGAAATTTCTTCCACCAGATACCTTAAATCATCTCTCTCAAGTTCAAAGTTCTACAGATCTCTAGAGCAGGGGGAAATGCCACCAGTCTCTTTGCTAAAGCATAACAAGAGTGGTGTTTACTCCAGGTCCCAAGTTTCTCATCTCCATCTGAGACTACCTCAGCCTGGCCTTCATTGTCCATGTCACTATCAGCATTTTGGTCCAAGCCATTCAGTGAGTCTCTAGGAAGTTCCAAACATTCCCACATCTTCCTGTCTTCTGAACCCTCAAAGTCTTTAGGAAGTCCCAAACTTTCCCACATTTTTCTGTTTTCTTCTGAGCCCTCTAAACTTTTCCAACCTCTGCCTGTTACACAGTTCCAAAGTCACTTCCACATGTTTGGATATCTTTATAGCAGCACCCCACTACCTTGGTACTGGTGCACTAAATTACAGTATTAGTTTGTTCTCACACTGCTATGAAGAAATACTAGAGACTGGTTAATTTATGAAGGAAAGAAGTTTAATTGACTCACAGTTCCACATTACTGGGAAGGTCTCAGGAATCTTAAATCATGGCAGGAAGCAAAAGAGAAGCAGACAGCTTCTTCACAGAGTGGTTGGACAGAGAGAGTGCAAGCTGAGGAAATGCCAGATGCTTATAAAACCATCAGATCCCTGACACTCAGTCACTATCATGAGAACATCATAGGGAAACTGCTCCTATGATCCAATTACCTCCACCTGGTCTTGCTCTTGACATGTGGGGATTATGGAGATTACAATTCAAAGTAAAAATTGGGTGGTGACAGAGAGCCAAACCTTATGACCCAGTTACAACTACTCAATTCTGCCACTGTAGTGAGAGAGCAGTTCCAGATAATACATAAACACATAGGTGTGTCTGTAATTTACAAAAAACGGATTGTAGGTAAAATATTTTCTGCAAACTATAATTTTCCAACACTTGATTTATGAGATGAACATAATGCAAACTCTGTATTATTTTCTGTGTGTAAAATCACCTGACCAAATTTGACACAAGTTTGATTTAAACTGCAAGGGCCTTGAAGCCCTGGCTTTCACTTGAAGTCAAATCACAGCACTCTAACCTGAAAAAAATGTGTATTTGTTAAATTAAGAAAACAAGTAACTAAAACAACATTTTAATTATGTGTGATCTGTATTACTAGACACTTGTGCTCACAGGTAGATGAGGCAAAAGTAGGAAGGAATATACATCTGCTTATGCCCAAATCGATTCTGTGATAAATCAGTAAAATATTGAATTTATCTTCTTAAAATTTTTATTTGAAAATTTGGAACTAAATGACAATGTTTCTCTCCATTTAAAACATTTCAACAAGTTGTGTGCAATTCAGAATTATTCAAGTATTTGTATTGCATAAAACACACCAGTGTTTCAGAGTGACAATAGTGCTAAATTTGTGTTTTATATCAAGATATTATTTATAAATGTTAAACATTTATATATAGCTGCTTAATTCAACTCATATAACTTATTTTTAGAATTTTCAAATATTTTAAAACATATTTAAAAACAATGTTAATATCTGTTCCCAAGTATAAATGCTAAACTTAATAGTTTCATAATTTATTTTTAAAGACATGCTAAGTTTGTAGAAAAGCTTTTAATTCTTTTTTGTTGTTGTTGTTGGTTTAAAAAGGAAAACTTGTGAAGACAAAAGTCATTAAGAACAGGAACAAAAAGTATCTTGGAAACAACTTGCCTCCAAAGAAGCTCTTCTATTTTCATTTTTCACCATGTTGCTTGAACATTAAGGAGCCATCTGGCAGTGAAGGGGCTCTCTGCAGTCTGTATTGCAGGTACTTAATTGTCTAGGACAGTCATTTATCAGTGAAATAAGCTCCTTAGTGGCCTGCAGCTTCAGCAGTTTCCCCAAATAGTAAAAAATAATTACCATTCTTCCAGTGGTAGTTGAAGTGTATTCAGTGCTGTCATGCCAAGTGTCAAGGTTCCAGCAGCTGCTGAGGTCTGGGGGAGTGGATGGATGGGTGGCAAATAGCTGAAAGAACACTCAGTGGGGGGCTGTAGGCAGGTGAAATATGGTTTTATTCAGCAGCTCTCTCAAACTGTCCATCTTTATCTTGGCTGCCTGCTCCAACTGCAGCCTCTCTTAGCAGCCAGCTCTGCAGCGCCTGCTGCTCCCACACTTAAAGTTGCATTCCCTGGCACACTTGCTGGCTATTGGCTCCCCACTGTCCACCTGCAGGATGGATAGCTCTCCCTCACACGGTCAGCAGATTAACTTTTTCTCTCTGGGCGCATGCAGCATGTACAGTATCAGCAGGGTAGTTATACCTTTTACAAACAACAGTGGCTCCAAGCCAAGTGAGGATTCTCCCCATGTTATGGCTACATAGCTGTGATTATATAATGCATGGAATTGTGCACCTGCACTCCAATCCCACTGAGTCATGCAGGATGTTTTCCTTGGCCTATTCTTGACTAAAGCACATCCATTTACCTTACAAGCCCTTAATTTGGGAGGATGACATTAATTAATATCACACAATTGAAGATTACTCCCTGTGGTAGGCAGAAAAAAACGGTTTCCTATAAGATATCTCTGTCAAATCACCTAAACCTGTGAGTTTTCTTATTTGGAAAAGCATTCTCTGCAGACGTGATTAAGTTAAGGATGTTGAGTTGAGACAATAATGGATTATCCAGGTGGACCAAAATATGATAGGAGTCCTTGTAAGAGAAGGCAGAGAGAAATTTAAGACAGGAAGAAGAGAAGACATAGAGGAGAAGATTATATAAAGAGGGTAGTGATTGGCGTGGTGGAGCTATGAGACAACGAATGCCAAGAATTGAAGGTAGTCACCAGAAGCTAAGCTAGGAGGGAGGAATGGGAAAGATTCTCCCTGGAGTTGCTCAAAAGAGCACAAACCTGCCAACACCTTGATCTCAGACTCTGGCCTCCAGACTGTAACATAATAGATTTCTGCTGTTTTAAGCCACTAATTTATGATAATTTTTATAGCAGCCATATAAAACAAATAGTTCCTAAGTATTTTTGAAACAGAGCATATTTTGTTCTAATTATCAGTTATTTATAGGGGGACCTGCCCCGATAATCATGTAGGTTCTTTTCTATTTCCCTAAGTGTCAGCCAGCTTGAGAAATAAAGGGACAGAGTACAAAAGAGAGAAATTTTAAAGCTGGGTGTCTGGGGGAGACATCACACTTTGTTAGGATTCATGATGCCCCACAAGCTACAAAAACCAGCAAGTTTTTATTAGGGAGTTTCAAAAGGGGAGGGAGTGTGCAAATAGGTGTGGGTCACAGACATCAAGTACTTAACAGGGTAATAGACTATCACAAGGCAAGTGGAGGCAGGGCGAGATCACAGGACCACAGGACCGAGGTGAAATTAAAATTGCTAATGAAGTTTCGGGCACCATTGTCATTGATAACATCTTATCAGGAGACAGGGTTTTGAGATCAACCGGTTTGACCAAAATTTATTAGGCGGGAATTTCCTCTTCCTAATAAGCCTGGGAGCGCTATGGGAGACTGGAGTCTATTTCACCCCTGCAGTCTCAACCATAAGAGACAGGCCACACCCAGGTGGGCTGTTTATAAGCTGATACCTCCAGGCGCTTATTCTCTTTCTCAGGGATGTTCCATGCTGAGAAAAAGAATTCAGCGATACTTCTTCCATTTGCTTTTGAAAGAAGAGAAATATGGCTCTGTTCTGCCCGGCTCACTGGCGGTCAGAGTTTAAGGTTATCTCTCTTGTTTCCTAAACATTGCTGTTATCTTGTTCTTTTTTCAAGGTGCCCAGATTTCATATTGTTTAAACACACATGCTCTACAATTTGTGCAGTTAATGCAATTATCACATGGTCCTGAGGTGACATACATCCTCCTCGGCTGACAGGATTAAGAGATTAAAGTAAAGACAGGCATAGGAAATCACAAGGGTATTGATTGGGGAAGTGATAAGTGTCCATGAAATCTTTACAATTTATGTTTAGAGACTCAGTAAAGACAGTCATAAGAAATTACACAAGTATTAATTTGGGGAACTAATAAATGTCCATAAAATCTTCTCAATCCACGTTCTTCTGCCATGGCTTCAGCTGGTCCCTCTGTTTGGCATCCCTGACTTCTCACAACAGTTAGTTAATATTTTTATCTTCTTTCCATATTATAGGTTTACTATGACTTCTGATATAGCTAATTAGGAAAGGCCTACCAGAATTGCAGAAGAAAAATAAAACTTCTAAAATGTGGTCAGTAAAAAAAAAATAGGGCCGGGCACAGTGGCTCACTCCTGTAATCCCAGCACTTTGGGAGGCTGAAGCGAGCAGATCACGAGGTCAGGAGATAGAGACCATCCTGGCTAACACCGAAACCCCATCTCTACTAAAAAACTACAAAAAATTAGCCAGGTATGGTGGCAGGTGCCTGTAGTCCCAGCTACTTGGGAGGCTGAGGCAGGAGAATGGCGTGAACCTGGGAGGCGGAGCTTGCAGTGAGCCGAGATTGAGCCACTGCACTCCAGCCTGGGCAACAGCATGAGACTCTTTCTCAAAAAAAAAAAAAAAAAAAAAAAAAAAAAAAAAAAAAAAATTCCAGGAAGCCAAGATTCTATAAGTCAAAGATTTTTAAATGCATAAACACAGTGAATTACTCATAAATAACTTTAGAAAAAAGTTGAAATTACAAAACTAGGAAAAGCCTATTTAAGATAATAAAGATAAATCTCCCTGTTTCATCCAAAGTAAAATACACTTGCCTCTATAATTTAAATAATAATTTCAAGAAATACATTTTTAATATCTTATATATGGCTAAAATATTCACTGTAGGTAGGATATAGGCTACATCACTCCAAGTGTACAACAAATTAATGTTATATTTGTTTTTAATGGTACAGTTTGAGTATCCTTTACCTGAAATGCTTGAGACCAGAAGTGTTTTGTATTTCAGATTTTTTGGTTTTCAGAATATTTTCATGTACATAATGAGAATCTTAGAGGTGAGATCTAAGCCTAAATATAAAGCTCATTTATATTTCTTATGCATATAGCCTAGAGGTAATTTTATATAAAAGTTTTAGTAATTGTGTGCATGAAATAAAGCTTGTGTACATAGAACCATCAGAGAGCAAAGGTTTCACTATATTCACCACCCATGTAGACAATCTGTGGTTTTTTTAAGCATCAACATCATTCCTGACTTTGAACTTATGTGCTATTCATGAGTGATCATTTTCATATACTTATTTACAGATAAGTAATTAACAGTTAAAAAAAGGCATACAATTAATAAAGTGAAAATTTGTCTTCCGGGTAGCTAAGCAACACAGCAGCATCACCAGAATACTTAGATCAGCTGTTAACAGCAACAACAAACAAGCCAGGCTTTTAGTTCCTACGTATAATGCAGTGTTTTAATTTAAAAGGTTTATGTACGTTATATATTATTTTAATTTTTTAGGTGAGAAAAAACATCAGATGAAGTCGAGGGACCAGAAAGTGAGTCTTCTAGGCATGAGGATCCATGCTCCTGGATGGCTTTTTAAAATGTTTCTTCCAGAATCATCTGCCTCATTAATAACAGTTTTCCTTAGAAGTCTCTCTTTGATTTATAAATTGACATATTTTTGTTTTGATATGAATGCATGCAGCTCTATTTCTTAAGGAGCCCATTACACGTTTTGACGTCATTTATACTTTTACCGCAGTTTTAACATCATCGTCTTCATCATGGCTATTATCATGATCACCTTGATTCATAATCATTTTGACTATTTTTGATTAGTCAATGAATAAACCACTGGAGCTTAATTTCTAATGTTAAAATTTTTTTTGATATCCACATCTTCAAGCTTACTGATGGATTCTGAAGCTATATTTTTTGCATATATAAAAGGTCAGACATCATTTTTACTCTCACTTGATGTATGAAATCCTAAAAAGTCACTACCTTGTTCATAATTATCACTGAATTTAGTCACAGGTCAGAGGTTGAGCAAGACATGAACAATTGTGTTTTTAATCACTGTGTTCTAAGCATTGCCAACAGAATATATCACATTTGTCTTGTTAAAATCATTCCAAGGCCAGGAGTGGTGGCTTACACCTATAATCCCAGCACTTTGGGAGGCCAAGGTGGGCAGATCACAAGGTCAGGAGTTCCAGTCCAGCCTGGTCAATATGGTGATACCCAGTTTCAACTAAAAATACAAAAATTAGCTGGGTGTGGTGGTGGGCGTCTGTAGTCCCGGCTACTCGGGAGGCTGAGGCAGGAGAATTGCTTGAACCTGGGAGGCGGTGGTTGCAGTGAGCCAAGATCATGCCACGGCACTCCAGCCTGGGTGACAGAGCTAGACTCTGTCTCAAAAAAAAAAAAAATTTCAAAAACTTTCCACACCATGCCTCTGTTCACTGATGCTATCATGTTGTTCAAGAAAGTGTTTCCTTATTTAATCAATCTAATGATACCCTGGTCACATGGCTGAATTTGAAAGAAGGTGCATGGCATAAACATTATTTTTGATGAGAAGTAATAACAGAACCTTACAGTTATTTAATCTAACTTTCCTGCAGTAAGCACAAGACTGTTATCAAATGTTTGTGAAACTAATCAGACAAAATTTCTCTAGTGATCTTGCCTTTTTGTTAGCATAACAATGGACTGTCAAGAAACTTGGCTGGGCACCTTGGCTCATGCCTGTAATCCCAGCACTTTGGGAGGCCGAGGTGGGTAGGTCACTTGAGGTCAGGAGTTCAAGACCAGCCTGACCAACATGGTGAAACCCCATCACTACTAAGAATACAAAAATTAACTGGGCATGGTGCACACCTGTAATCCCAGCTACTTGGGAGGCTGAGGCAGGAGAATCGCTTGAACCTAGGAGGTGTAAAAAACAAAAAAAGAAACTTATTCTCTGAAAATTTTGAGGACCCAAGCTTTTGCCTATCACAGCACGTTTACCCTCATGCATGCCTGTTGCATTAGCACATCCCAGCATAGTTATTCTATTTTTGGCATTCTTCATTTCTGTTGGCTTTTTCTCATCAGCTGTAATCAGTATCTTTCTGAGACAATAACACCAAAAAAGTGGTGTTTCATCAGTTTTATTGACTTGTTCTAGTGTCAGATTTTCATCAGTGATGACCTTAGCAAACTCATCAATGAATTTCTCTGCTGCTTCAGGATCAGTAGATGTTTTATTATCCCAAATCTTTCAAAATTTAATGCCATGTTTTTTCTTACATTTCTTCAACCAGTCTGATGAATATTCAAATTTCTCTTCAATTAGATATTTGCTTGTTTTATAATCAGCTTACCATCAAGTGCTGGTGTCCACTGTGATGCTGACCAATTCATTCTTTCAATACACTCTCAAGATCTCCAGTTTTAGTTTTATGCAGTGTTTTTCTATTTTTCACTGACTTCTGTTCATCACTTTTAGCAAAGAAATTCAACAGTTTATCCTCTGTTTCTTCAGGTCATATATGATGGTCATTCCAACATTATACTTTTCTGTGAGATGTTTCATGCTTACACTACTGTTCAGTTTCTTCAACAGCTTGACTTTCCGTGATGTAGATAAACAAAAATGCTTCCTTTTTTTCTTTATCACTGTTACCCATAGGGATATCTGCAGCCCGTTTTGACATTTTCAACCATACCTTTATACCCCAGAGCAGAGAAACAGAAAAAACAAAACACAGTGAATAGTGCATGTAGGTCTTGGACACATGTGAGGCATTATGGAAAATGCACCAATGGTACATCCAGCCTGCACATGTATCATGTTATTATACTCTGTGGGCTCACACAGGGGAGTCTGGGTATGTGCAGAGAAGATATATTGCAAAAGAAGGGGGATGGGAAGCTGTTCTTTCTACTAGGGACACTGAATAAACGGTGTTGCATATGGTGTTGTTCAACTGCATTTTGATTGGAATTCATCATATGAGGTCAGGTGTGGAATTTTCCACTTGTATTTTCATGTCAGCACTCAAAAAGTTTTTGATTTTGGAAGACTTCAGATTTCGGATTTTCAGATTAAGAATGCTCAACCTGTATTAGAATAATTACTCAATTAAATCAGATTTGTTTAATTCCTAATTATTTTATACCATTCATATTTTTTCATTTAACTTTTTTTATTGATATATAATAGTTGCACATATTAATTGAATACATTTTTAACATTCACCACTGAGTTTCATCTCATATACAAGTAGGATGCTGTCAGACATGGAGTCCACGACCTGGAGTGAGAACTTCCCTGATGCCTTTTGGCCAGTCGAATGGTGCATTTTCTGGGCCCACTCATGGACCAATCAGCATCCACGTCCTCCATTCTGAGCCCATAAAAACCCTGGACTCAGCCACACTCAGACACACATTGAGACTACCTGCCTGCAGATAGGACCTACCCACTTCAGGTCTCCTCTCCACTGAGAGCTGTTCTATTGCTAAATAAAGTTCTTCTCTGCCTTGCTCACCCTCCACTAGTTTGTATTACTTTCTGTTTCCTGGACGTGGGACAAGAACTTGGGACCTGCTGAAAAGAGGGCATGAAAAAGGCTGTAACATATTCCTGGCCAGCTCACTGAGCTGCAGGCAGTGACATGCTACCATTCACTGGACTGTGGGAGTGAAGAGTGGCAACGTTTCTGGAGGTGCAGACATTGGACTTCTCTGAGCCAGAGCTGTAACACCATAGCCCTCCCGTCCTCTGCTAGCATTGGGTGGCCACCTCACATGAACAGAAGTAGCAGCAGGGCCAGGCCAGCCCAGGAGCCATGGGCTGGAGCAGGATGGAATTACTAAATGAGCTGTAACACAAATAGGCTGAAACATACCCCTTCACCATTTGCTGTGCTGCAGGTGGTGGGAACGAGAGAGCTGTAACATGCTGACCCTGACAGGTATATAGAGGATTTACAGAGTTCAACATAGGTGTTTGAATCTCCTGGAAGGATGTTATGTTACTTTTGAATCAAACCCTGACTACTGCTAAAGCAGGCCACCCTGCAAGCAGCAGAAAATTTTGGGGATGAGCTTTATATATCATATTGTGCCAGGAAAGGAAATGGGCCTTATCCAGTTGGAAGAATAGCAGTACCATTGAAGGACACCCTAAATGAGACCCCAATGATAAAATGGGAGAATGGGAAAGAAAACACTTTCAGGTGTACATACTAGAGTGCATACAAAGGACTAGAACTAAGTCTCTCAATTATTCCAAACTATCCATGATAGACTGGGGATCAGACGAGAACACCATGGCCTCCTTGGGAAGGCTAAGAAGGGCTTTGGTAAACCACACCTTTCTACCTCTGGATTCAGTTGAGGGACAACTAATCCTAAAGGATACTTTTATTACTCAGGCAAACCTGGATATCAGGAGGAAGCTGCAGAAGCAAGTCATAGGACCAGATAGTGCTTTGGAGAACCTCCTGAAAGTAGCCACCTCAGTCTTTTACAATAAGGATTGGAAGGAAGCCTGAGAGAGAGGGGAGACAGAAGAAAAAGGAAGAGGCTCTAATGGCTGGCTTGCAGGCTTACAAACCCCAGAATCCCCAAGATGCACCTGTTAACTGCTACAAAGTGGCAAGCCAGGGCACTTTAGGAAGCACTGCACAGGCCACATGAGGAAGCCACCTTTAACTTGCCCAATTTGTGATAGGACCACTGGAGGGTGGACTGTCCCTGGAGATGCAGGCCGCTGGGTCCAGAGCCAGTCTCCCAAACTGCCCAGCAGAACTGATGGGTCCCAGGGCTCCTCTCCCTGGATCTGGTGGTTCAGACCACCATTACCATCCAGGAGCCCTGGGTGATTCTGGAAGTTGAAGGGAGGAATGTGGACCTCCTCCTGGACACTGGAGCGGGCCTTTCAGTTCACTTCTACAATCTGGGCCCCCCACTTCTCTCAGCATGAACATGCAGGGCATCTCCGGAAAACCTTTAATCTGAAATTTTTCCAACCCCTTAGTTGTAGTTGAGGAGACCTCTGGTTTACTCACGCCTTTTTAATCATGCCCAAAAGCCCAACTCCTTTGCTATGCAGAGATATCTTAGCTCATGTAGGAACCACCATCTTTTTGGCTTCAGGAACGACTCTTTGTTTCCCTCTATTGGAGACCAATATTAACCCAGAAGTTTGGGCAACTTCAGGGAAAATTGGCTGAGCCACAATCACTATACCAGTTTGGGTCCATCTTAAGGATCCTATCTCCTTAGCTAAACAGAAACATATCCCCTAAAACCAGAAGTTAAGAAAGGGCTAGGAGCTAGCATTGATAACTTGAGGATGCAGGGCCTCCTTAAATCCTGCAACAGCCCTTATAATACCCCGATATTGGGGTTACAAAAACCCAGTGAGGACTGGAGACTGGTCTAGGACTTCTGCCTCCTTAATGAGGCTGTGGTTCCAATACACCTGGCAGTTCCCAGTCCCTATACCCTGTTAACTCAAATACACGAGGGAACTAAAATCATTCACAGTCCTGGACTGAAAGGATGCCTTATTTTGAATACTGTTACACCAGACTCCTGGTATTTGTTTGCATTAGTGGATCCCTTCAACTAGACAACCCAGCTAACCTGGATGGTGTTACTTCAGGGATTCTGAGATAGCCCCCACCTGTTTGGGCAGGCATTGTCAAAAGATCTCTCTGAGTTCCTTTATCCTCAGGGTAGTTTTACAACGTGTAGATGACATTCTCCTTTGTGCCCCAACTGAGGAAGTCTCTCAGGAGCACAGTAGGGTTCTTCTTAATTTTGCAGCTAACAGAGGAAATAAGGTCTCAAATCTAAGACTCAGCTCTGTCAGCCTTCAGTGAAGAACCTAGGCCTAGTCTTGTCAGAGGGGACCAGGAGACTAAGCAAAGAAATGTTCAAGCCTGAGTCCTCCTTTCTCCTCCCCAAAGCCCTCAAGGAACTGAGGGGATTCTTGGGCATTACAGGGTTCTACAGCTTATGGATATAGATATCCGGGTATGGTGAAATAGCTTGTCTCTTACATCACCTAATAAACGAAACTCAGGCAGCTAAAACCCACTCCCTAATTTGGAAACCAGAAGCTAAAAGGGCCTTTGGCCAATTAAAACAAGGCTTGTTTGAGGCATCAGCCCTTAGTCTTCCCATGGGGAAGATGTTCAATCCTTATGTATCAAAAGGAGATATTAGATTACCAGAAAGATGTTAATGAAACATATGGTAAACATGGTTTCTCAGAAAACTTTGTTACCTATCATATTTCTAACATGTTATTGTCCTTTTTGCCAGTTTGGTTTATTTATAATCATAAAAATAAAAGGAATAAATTGGGAAACTACCATACATTTTTTGTTTCTGATATGGGTAGTATTTGTTAAGGGAGGAAAGGTAAAATTTTTGCATTGAATGAGTGATGGCTATGACTTATCAGATAAAACTAAATACTTTGAAGAACTATTTTGTGTATATTACTTACATGATTTGGCTCTGTGTCCCCACCCAAATCTCATCTTTAATTGTGTTGCCATAATTCCCATGTGTTTTCAGAGGTAGGGACCCAGTGTGAGATCACTAAATCATGGGAGCACTTTCCCCCATACTGTTCTTGTGGTACTGAATAAGTCTCACAAGATCTGATAGTATTATCAGGGGTTTCTGCATTTGCCTCTCCCTCATTCTCTCTTTGCCTGCTACCATTCATGTAAGACGGGACTTGCTGCTTCTTGCCTTCTGCCATGATTGTGAGGCTTCTCCAGCCATGTGCAACTGAAAATCCAATTACACCTCTTTCTTTTTAAAATTGCCCGGTCTTGGGTATGTCTTTATCAGCAACTTGAAAACAGACTAATACAGTAAATTGGTACCAGTAGAGTGGTGCATTGTTGAAAAGATACCCAAAAATGTGGAAGTGACTTTGGAACTGGATAAAGGGTAGAGGTTGTAACAATTTGGAGGGCTCAGAAGAAGACGGGAAAATGTTGGAAAGTTTGGAACTTCCTAGAGACTTGTTAAATGGCTTTGCCCAAAATGCTGATAGCAATATGGAAAATAAGGTCCAGGCTGAGGTGGTCTCAGATAGAGATGAGCAACTTGTTGGGAACTGGAGTGAAGATGACTCTTGCTATGTTTTAGCAAAGAGACTGGGGGCATTTTGCCCCTGCCCTAGAGACTTGTGGAACTTTGAACTTGAGAGAGATGATTTAGAGTATCTGGCATAAGAAATTTGTAAGCAGCAAAGCATGCAAGATGTGCTTTGGGTGCTGTTAAAAGCATTCATTTTTAAAAGGGAAAAAGAACATATATGTTTGAAAAATTTGCAGCCTGACGATGTGATAGAAAAGATAATCCCATTTTCTGAGGAGAAATTCAAGCAGCCTGCAGAAATTTGCACAAGTAATGAGAAACCAAATGTTAATCCCCAAGACAATGGAGAAAATGTCACCAGGGCATGTCAGCGGTCAACACGGCAGCTCCTCCCATCGCAGGTCTGGAGGCCTAGGGGAAAAAAAAAAAAGTGCCTTCATGGGCTGGGCCCAGGGTCCCAGAGCTGTGTGCAGCCTAGGGAATTGATACACTGTGTCCCAGCCTCTCTATCCATGGCTGAAAGGGGCCAATGTAGAGCTCAGGCTGTGGCTTCAGAGGGTGGAAGCCACAGCCTTGGCAGCTTCTATGTGGTGTTGAGCCTGCAGATGCACAGAAGTCAAGAATTGAGGTTTGAGAACCTTTGCCTAGATTTCAGAGGATTTATGGAAATACCTGCATGCCCAGGTAGAAGTTTGCTGCAGGGGTGGGGCTCTCATGGAGAACCTCTGCTAGGGCAGTGCCGAAGGGAAATGTAGGGTTGGAGCCCCAACACAGAGTCCCTATGGGGCACCACCTAGTGGAGCTGTGAGAAGAGGGCCACCATCCTGCAGACCCCAGAATGGTAGATCCACTGTCAGCTTGCAGCGTGCAGCTGGAAAAGCTGCAGACACTCAATGCCAGCCTGTGAAAGCAGCTGGGAGGGAGGCTGTACCCTTCAAAGCCACAGGGTCAGAGTTGCCCAAGACCACAAGAACCCATCACTTGCATCAGTGTGACCTGGCTGTGAAACAAGGAATCAAATGAGCTCATTTTGGAGCTTTAAGATTTGACTGCCCCATTGGATTTTGGGCTTGCATGGGCCCCATAGCCCCTTTGTTTTGGCCAATGTCTCCCATTTGGAATGGTTGTATTTACCCAATGTCTGTACCCTCATTGTATCTAGGAAATAACTAGCTTGCCTTGATTTTACAGGTTCATAGTGAGAGACAGGAGTAGCTGGATTTCCTAGGCCAACTAAGAATCCCTAAGCCTAGCTGGGAAGGTGACCTCTTCCACCTTTAAACATGGGGCTTGCAATTTAGATCATACCTGACCAATCAGATAGTAAAGAGAGCTCACTAAAATGCTAATTAGACAAAAACAGGAGGTAAAGAAATAGCCAATCATCTATTTCCTGAGAGCACAGCAGGAGGGACAATGATCGGGATATAAACCCAGGCATTTGAGCCGGCAAAGGCAACCCCCTTTGAGTCCCCTCCCTTTGTATGGGAGCTCTTTTTTCACCCTATTTCACTCTATTAAATCTTGCAACTGCACTGTTCTGGACCATGTATGTTATGGCTCAAGCTGAGCTTTCACTCATCATCCACCACTGCTGTTTGAAGCCATCTCAGACCTGCCGCTGACTTCTATCCCTCCAGATCGGGCAGGGTGTCTGCTGTGCTCCTGATCCAGCGAGGGGCCCATTGACACTCCTGATTGGGCTAGAGGCTTGCCATTGTTCCTGCACAGCTAAGTGCATGGGTTCGTCCTAATCGAGCTGAACACTAGTCACTGGGTTCCACAGTTCTCTTCCATGACTCACGGCTTCTAATAGAGCTACAACGCTCACCGCATGGCCCAAGATTCCAGTCTTTGGAATCCGTGAGGCCAAGAACCCCAGATCAGAGAACACGAGGCTTGCCACCATCTTGGAAGTGGCCTGCTGCCATCTTGGAAGCAGCCTGCCACTATCTTGGGAGTTCTGGGAGCAAGGACCCCCCAGTAACAATAGGTGGAAAGAACTTGCCTTATATCAGATAAGACTTCGGACTGTGGACTTTTGAGTTAACGCTGAAATGAGTTAAGTCTTTGGGGGACTGTTGGGAAGGCATGATTGTTTTTGAAATGTGAGGACATGAAATTTGGGAGGTGCCATGGGTGGAATGATATGGTTTGGCTGTGTCCACACCCAAATCTCATATTATTTGTCCTCCCGTAATTCCTACCTGTTGTGGGAGGGACCTGGTGGGATCATTGAATCATGAGGGAGGTTTTCTCCATACTGTTGTCATGATACTGAATAAGTCTCACAAGATCTGATGGTTTTGTCAGGTGTTTCTGCTCTTGCATCGTCCTCATTCTCTTTTTGCCTGCTGCCATCCATGTGAGATAGGACTTGCTCCTTCTGGTCTTCCAACATGATTGTGTAGCCTCCCAAGCCATATGGAACTGTAAGTCCAATTAAACCTCTTTCTTTGGTAAATTACCCAGTCTCAGGTATGTATGTATTGGCAGCATGAAAACAGACTAATACAATTACCAAAATGTCTGCAGGACTATAAATTTTGAATTCAAAGTATGAGGCTAGATTTTATGATTTGCATGTTTATATTTAAGCTTCTTATTAATGAAATAAACATTTTCTGTAAGTGAAATGAACACCCAGAACATGTCCTTCATATTTTGCATAAAGCTGGTGTAACCATTGTATCATCAAATAAGCATATCTCCAATTCACAAAAACATGTATCGTTCATTTACATTCTTCTGAAAACACTACTTATTCTACCCAATTTATATGGATTTCCAAGTAGCAAAAGTGATCTTCTATGCAAAATTTATGTATTATCTCTGAAATTATTGCTTTGAAGCACACAAGATTTACCCCACCCAATTTTAGTATAGAACTCAAATAAGAGGTAATAATTATCCCATAATTGTTTTTACATAGAATACTTTTAAAAATATTAAAGTCAACCATTTCCATTATTATATTTTTTATCTTAATTTATTTCACTATTTTAAGACATATAGTTGTATTAATTGGAAGTGACATACATTTCAAATATTACCTAGTTTGTTATTATTATTATTAGTAGTAGTATTATACTTTAAGTTTTAGGGTACATGTGCACAACGTACAGGTTTGTTACATATGTATACATGTGCCAGGTTGGTGTGCTGCACCCATTAACTCATCATTTAGCATTAGGTATATCTCCTAATGCTATCCCTCCTCCCTTCTCCCACCCCACAACAGTCCCTGGTGTGTGATGTTCCCCTTCCTGTGTTCATGTGTTCTCATTGTTCAATTCCCACCTATGAGTGAGAACATGCGGTGTTTGGTTTTTTGTCCTTGTGATAGTTTGCTGAGAATGATGGTTTCCAGCTTCATCCATGTCCCTATAAAGGACATGAACTCATCCTTTTTTATGTCTGCATAGTATTCCATGGTGTATATGTGCCACATTTTCTTAATCCAGTCTATCATTGTTGGACATTTGGGTTGGTTCCAAGTCTTTGCTATTGTGAATAGTGCCGCAATAAACATACGTGTGCATGTGTCTTTATAGCAGCATGATTTACAGTCCTTTGGGTATATACCCAGTAATGGGATGGCTGGGTCAAATGGTATTTCTAGTTCTAGATCCCTGAGGAATCGCCACACCGACTTCCACAATGGTTGAACTAGTTCACAGTCCCAACAACAGTGTAAAAGTGTTCCTATTTCAAATGACAAAGGGTTATCACCACTGATCCCACAGAAATACAAACTACCATCAGAGAATACTATAAACACCTCTAAGTAAATAAACTAGAAAATCTAGAAGAAATGGATAAATTCCTTGACACATACACTCTCCCAAGACTAAACCAGGAAGAAGTTGAATCTCTGAATAGACCAATAACAGGCTCTGAAATTGAGGCAATAATTAATAGCTTACCAACCAAAAAAAGTCCAGGACCAGATGGATTCACAGCCGATTTCCACCAGAGGTACAAGAAGGAGCTGGTACCATTCCTTCTGAAACTATTCCAATCAATAGAAAAAGAGGGAATACTACCTAACTCATTTTATGAGGCCAGCATCATCCTGATACCAAAGCCTGGCAGAGACACAACAAAAAAAAGAGAATTTTAGACCAATATCCTTGATGAACATTGATGCAAAAATCCTCAATAAAATCCTGGCAAACCAAATACAGCAACACATCAAAAAGCTTATCCACCATGATCAAGTGGGCTTCATCCCTGGAATGCAAGGCTGGTTCAACATATGAAAATCTATACAGGTAATCCAACATATAAACAAAACCAAAGACAAAAACCACATGATTATCTCAATAGATGCAGAAAAGGCCTTTGACAAAATTCAACAACCCTTCATGCTAATATTACCTAGTTTTAATTATTCTCTTTAATTTGTGAAAATTCTAAAATGTTAAGCAATTTATTAATGCTACCTGATTAATTAATAATAATTAATTAATAATAGAACCATTGTAAGAGCTTTGGATTTATCTCTCAATTTAATTTTTTAAATGAACATTATGGTGATCAAATTCAGTACAATAAAAGCTAATCATTTTAAGTGAAAGCATTTTAAAATAAAAACATTTACAGCTCTAAAAAGTCTGTGGTCAGTTAAAGGTTTTGCAAATACTCGCACCACGTATTTTTAACAACCACCACAGTCAAGATACAGAACATTTGTAGCACAAATAAAAATTCCCTAGTAATTCTTCTTCAATTCTCACAGCTAACCACCCCAGGCAACCCCTGTCTTGTTGAAAGACACCATGCCCATTTTTCAGAATAGATGCCTTTTCTATAGATTAATAGAAATGGAATTATGAAGTATGTATTCTCTGTCTGTGGCTTCTTATGTGCAGCATGATAATTTTAGAAATAAATCCATGTTGTTGTTTGTATTTTTTGTTAATTTTACTACTAAACAAAATTTAAACTTGTTCATATAGCACAATTTGTTTATGCATTCAACTAATAGATGTTATAGTCAATATATTGCTATTACGAATTGCTGCTATAAATATTCATATATGTCAGTCCCTTTTGTGACTACATGTGTTATATCTTCTGAGTAAATGCTTGGTGAAGGAATTGCTTAATACTATGGTAACTTTCTAGTTAACTTTAATAAGAAAGCCATGAAAAGTTTTCCAAAATGGTTGTATTATTTTACAATCTCACCAGAAATGTATGAAAGTTTTCCTCTCATTATATCCTTGCCAGTGTTAGAATTTTGTTCTTTAAAATGTCTGATGTTTCATGAGGTATTTAGTGGAATCTAATCATACTTCTAATTTTGAATTATCTGCTGATTAGTGGTGTTGAGCATCTTCCCATGGACTCACGGCCCATTTCTATGTCTTTGTTTGTTTGTTTGTTTAAATCTTTTCTTTTTACACCAAATCACATTGCTTAATTTGTTTTTTTTGTAATTAACTTACTAGAGTTCTTTATATATTCTCAATATAATTTAATTGTCAAATATCAGTATACTATATTCTATCAGTTTTTGCCTTTTCATTTTCTTAATGGTGTTTGTTGAAGAACAGAAAATTTTGATGAAATACAACTTATTGTATTTTTTCGTAGTTAATCCTATTGTGCTTTATTCACAATATTTTTCCCTAGTCTAAAACTACAAAGGTGTTCTCCTATAAATATTTTTTAATTTAGGCTGTTTATTTTAAGCTTCTAAATTAATAAGCCTATGATAAATTTTGATTCTATTTTTTCTTTGTATGGTGTGAGATAAAGGTCCAGTTTTTATTTTTATAATTTTTATTTTTCATATGGCTATCAAGTAGTCTAATACACTTTGTTAATAAACAAGGCAAAAAATATTCCTTTTAAAAAATATCTCCATGAAATATTAAAGCCACTTTTGTGGAAAATTAAATGACTATGTATATCTTCACAGTAAGCCTTGAAATCAGGTACTTTAAGGTTTCTGTTTTCTTCATTTTCAAAATTATTCTAGGTCTTTCACATATGCTAAAAAATTTATAATCAAAGGTTAAATTTCCACAAACAAAATCTAATGGGATTTTGATGGTGATTGCCTTAAATCTGTAGATCAATTTCAAGAAAAATGACACTAACAATATTGACTTTTTTGATCTATGAACATGGCATCTCCCTTTCTCACAGCAAGATTATGCAGATTACAGTTTACAGGTTTAGACATATTTTGTTAAATTTAAACCCAAGTACTTAACATTTTCTGATACCAGATTAAGTAATATTTTGTCTTAAATTTTAATTTTTAATGAATTTTATATAGGAAAAACATATATTTTTGTGCATTGAGGTTTATTCTTGCCATCTTGATACCTTTAATTATATCTAGTAGTCTTTTGCTAAATTTGGTAGAATGTTTTTACAGAAATAATTATTTTATCTTCTAATAAACAACCCAAATACCCCTGAGCTGATGATAGATAAATAAAATGTGATATAGCCATATAATAGAATACTATGTAGCAACAAAAAGAATGAAGTATTAATAGAAGCTACAACATAGCTGAACTAAAAAACATAAATAGTGAAATAAGCCAGGCAAAAAATAATACATGTTTTATGATTTCATTTTTAAGAAATTTTCTGAAAAGCCAATTCAATAAAGACATAACATAGATACACGGTTTGAGGGTGAGGTGGGAATGATAACTGCAGATGGGCAAAAGACTTCTTTTGGGGGGTAATGGAAATGTTTTAAAATTATTTGTGGTGATGATTGCACAATTCTGTACATACAGTTTGCATAAATAAATATCATGTTTTATATATGTTATTAATACTATTATTTTTAAAAATAAATACCCATCTTGTGTAAACACTAGCTATTCTGGTTTGAACATATATAATCCTTTTGCCTAGCTTTCATTTGAAAATGTCCTAAGCAATCTTTGGAATTCATATTTTATTTAGCGTGAATCGTTGTATGAACTACTAACAATTTTTCTATTTTTTATGACTTCGCTTTATTCTTCAGTTGTTATTGATAAATAATATAGCATTCACAAAAGTATAAGATTAATAGCAAACATCTTCAACTGCAGTATTTTCACATTGGCACTAGTTGGAATTGTGATGTTTGTGTAATTACCTTACTGTCATTATTGAGCTTAAGTTAATTCAATGTATCTAAATTGACAAGGGAGCATTTGCTTGAACCGGAAAATAAGTAGAATCACCCTGATGAATACAAGGCATACAGAAAGTGTTTGCAAGTTATATCAAATCATTGTGTTTTACATCTATTGAAAGTGGATGGAGTCCAATTAAGGCATTGGGGCATCAGCATGAATCAGTAGATCTTCAACTTTCATGTACATCACAATTACCCAGGAATTTATTTTTTCTTAGATACTTAAGTTCTACCCAAGGAGATTCTGCATCATTATATCTGCCATGGAGTCTCTTTCCTAAATTTTAAATGGTATACACAATTTTAATTAATAATAACATGAAAATTTAAAGTAAGCTTACAGGAAAACACAAAAAGCTATTAATAGAATGCATGTTTGTCCCTGACTCACATTTTAAACATAGTAAAATATTTCCAGTTAGATGCACCATTAAGAAGGATTTAGAAATTGGAAGACGCTATGGCACTGTACCATAATTCCTTACACGATTTCTAAAAATTTAGTAATTTGTTCTAAGGATATAATCAGAAACAGGTTATCCACAAAGAAAACTGTATGATGTTTAATAGAATGCAACAGCTTAACAAAAAAAAAAAAGAAAATAGGGAAACCTAAATGCATGAAAATAAAAACATGTCAGACGAACCATCTTGCAGTCTTGAAGAGCAAATATGTTAGCCACTAAACTCTTCTTGAATTCCAAACAATTATATAATAAAATACTGCATATGAGAATATGGAGCTGTCTTCAAATGCTGATTCAGCTTGCCTTTACTAAAATGGAAAACTTCCCAAAGCTTAATTACTTTTTCCATGGGAATAAGAGTGATGATTATTTGAGTCTTAAATAAAATGAGATTTGTAAGGAAATTAAGTCATTTTCTGGTATATAGTTACTTGTCATTACATGTTAGCTATTCTTATCTGCTTTCTTTGAGACATAATGTTTTGAGTGTGTGTTGGGAGCATATGTCTGGAGAGAGAGTGAGCTAGAGAGAGAGAGATGGAGAGGGGCAGAGACAATAAGGAGCTACACTGAAGATTAACTGTAGATGCATTTAAAACTTAAAATAAAAATACATATTTCTGCTTTTTATTTTTCCAGGGTCTTAAAAAGTATAAAATAATGCTATGAGAAAATTTAAACCTTTATTTTAAGAAGAAAAATTGGAGAAAATTGTGTTTCCCTGAGAAACTTGATAATTTATGATAATATAGTTGTGAAGATAAGCTTTGTATATCTTACATATATAAGATATATATATCTTGTATATCTTATATATACAAGATATATATATATAAACTTTGTATATCTTATATACAAGATATATATATATATATCTTGTAAATATAATCATTCATGCAAGGTTATGCAACATAGTTCAAGAACTGTTAGATTTCTCTTTTCTATTTATTTAGTAAGTATTACATTGCTTATTTTTAAATTCCTTCCTTGAATGGCAAGAAGTCATTTATAGTTCTACAGAGAAGCAGACTGGTATAGTAAGACCTCCAGAAGCTAAAGTAATATTATGAAAGGATTTTGGTATTTTAATAATCAATTTGTTTTGGGGACCTGAATAACTGCACATAACTCCCTAAATCCATTTATACACTCCACTGATTAGGCTAATTTGGAACTGTGTTCAAATATCAGCAATTTGAGCATGTAGAAAACAAGATATTTTTGTTTTTAAATATCCTAAGGTGTCAAAGAAGCAAACAAGCAAAAACATAATGTTGATCAAGTATTTTTGAGTTTAAATATTACATATCAGTTTGTATGTGGATGGAAGACTTAGCCATTAGCACCTGTGAGCTGTTATGAAAGTTGGTTTCAATAGTCAGGTTTAAGGCATTCCCTAGAAAGTCAGCTTTTATCTTATACAGGAACTTGGGATCAGGTTGTGAATGACTTCCACATAATTAAAAATGGGCACTTCTGGCATTAGACAAGGAAGAAGTCCTATAACATTCTAGGTTTAGGATGTGAATCATATGCTTAATTCTTCTTATTACACTTAAACGTACTGGTCAACATTTATAAGAATAAAAATAAAAGATAAAGGGCTTCCATTTCTAACCATGTTAGAGTAACAGAGCCAGGACTTACATTTCTGCTATTTGCAACTAGAATGCTGGAAAAATTATGTGAGAAAAATATTTGCAGACCTTGGACAACAAGCGGCACAAGACTTCTGTAAGCCTTCTCTTACCCTGCTGGATGACACACTCCAGAGTTAGGGAGCAGAGGTGAGAATCCCCAACACAACACAGTGATCTGCATGGTGATCCCCCAGTTGAGGAGATTAGAATTCAGGGAGGCTGAGGTGGCTATAAGTTGCAAGGCAGAGCTCCGGAGAGAAAGATGCAATGGTGAAAAAATGAACAGGGATCCCTACTGAGTCAGCTGAATGCTAAGCCATATGTGTGTCAGGCAAGACTCCATAAGGCAGTGCAAAGATCTCACAAGGTGTCAGGAGAGATACTTACCCAACTAGAGCAGAGAGTGCTAATTCATCACCTGGGGCATTGAAGGAAGATTCAAGAAGTTGCAAACCTCAGCAATAGGGACAAATTATCACTAGATTCAAGGCTACTCTACATCCAAACATTAAAATTGTTAAGGCAAGGCTCTAAAGCAAGGGTGGACACATTTTTCTTAAAGGGATAACTCAGTAAGTATTGTAGGCTTTGTGGGCCACATGTGATATCTTTCACATTTTCTTTGTTTTTTATAAACTTTTAAAGTATGTATTTATTAGTTTCTTAGGGCTTCTGTAACAAATTGCCACAAACTGGGTGACTTAAAACAATATAAATCTGTTCTCATACTCTTGAGGCTAAAGTCCAAATCGAGGTGTCGACTGGGCATGCTCTTTCCCAAAGCTCTAGGGAAGAACACTTCCTTGCCTCTTGCTTCTGGTGGCTGCTGGCAATTGTCATTCCTTGGCTTGTAAATACATCATTCCAATCTCTGCTTCTTCTTCACATGGACTTCTCCCATGACTCCATGCATCTGTGTCAGAAGAAGTGACCAGTGATTGGATTTAGAGCCTATGCCAATCCAGTGTGTCCTCATTTTAACTTGATAATTCCATGTGCAAAGACTCTATTGTCAAATAAGGTCATATAAATAGCTATCATATAGATATGAATTTGGGGGCAACACTACTGTAATAAACATTTTTAACATAAAGGCTGTAAAAAATAGGCCACAGAGTAGAATCAGCTTACATTCTATAGTTTGCAAGTATAAATACTGTAACTTCAAACCAAACTTACAGTAAACAAAAATACTTTATTTCCTACTATTTCAGTTTACTATGAAAAGGACAAATATGAAAAAAAGTCACTTTTAGGTTTCTGCACATTGTGTCATGTGGCATACCAGAGGCTGCTATCCAATTAGGGAAGCTAGGAGCAGAGGACAGCAGAGTGCACACTAATCATATCTGACTAGGCAAAATCACCACAGTTTCAAATGGTTAGTATTCTTATTTTTAGCGCAATACTATCAAAGTATGTTTGTATATTATAACACCTGAATTCACCGCTAAAAGATTCAACAGATAAAAACTTCTAACACCACGGTAAAATAATAAAATTTTATTCCTGCAGTTTCACTAACAGATTCAGGATTCCGAGATGATATCAAATAGCGATAATAATACAATAAAAATGAAAGCTAATACATGCTTTTCGACAACAGTCTCTAACGTTCACTGTTCTCTTCTCTCTTCCAAAAAGGCAACTGGTTCCCCAGCCACAAGTTTCCACTAATCATTTTTTTTATCCATGTTTCACACAGGTAAAATTCCAAACATAAACATTTGAGTCAACATTACCACTCTTTTTAAATAAACTCTATTATTTAAGAATATTTTTACGTTTACACAAAAGTTTCTGGAAGAGTACAGAGACAGCCAGAATATTCCACATCTAGTTTACCCTACTGTTAATATCTTACATTCCTATGTTACATTAGTCACAACTAACAAGTCAACAGTGATACAATATTATGAACTGAAGTCAGTACTTTACTTAGATTTCTTTACATTTTTGTCTAACATCCATATTTTAGTTCTATCTATAATACCAGATTATTTGTAGTCATTATGTTTCCTTAGACCCCTCTGAGCTGTGAATGTTTCTCAGGCTTCCATTGCTTGACAGCCTCAGGGTAAAAGGGGGTTGATTCCTTTCCTCCCTATCATAAGGGTCACAGCTGACACCTCTATAACAAAGAAAGGTTACCAAGAAACAAGTATAACAAATTTAATTGACCATAGTTCTACATGACATGGGAGCCTTCAAAATGAAGATCCAAAGATACAGCAGAAAATGCTCATTTTATGCTTAAGTTCAACAAAGTATGAATGGACCTGTAGAAATATGATTGAACAAAAAGTATATGGTCTAATGCTAACAGACTGAGTGACGAAGCACAGCAAGGCTTCTCTGTTTAGAGTCTTCTTTGCCTCTCTGTGCAGCATTCCTTCCTGCTGGGTATGAGGCAGGACCCTCTCTGAAATTGGGGTTTTATGACCTACAATCAAATGAGATAGGTCAGATAATTTATTTATGGTCAATTTTTATGCAGAAAAGAGGGGCAAAGTCAGAGTAATATTTTTAGGGTTTCTGGCTTGCTTTGGGGAAATGGGTTATGGACTCTTGTCTTGGGGAAAAGAGACTCTAGTTTCTATAGTTTGCCTCAGGAAAGAATGTGGAGGTCAGGAGAAGATTAGGGAGAAACTTGCTTCTGAGGCTGCCTCTGAGACTTTCATTTTGCAGTATTATTTTCTGAGCTCCAACAAGTGTTTTTAGAAATACTAGCCAGTTTTTATGTAGAATGTCCCTCTGTTTATATTTGTCTGATATTTTTCTAAGATTAGATGGGGGATTGTGGATTTTGGGAAGGAAAACCTCAGAGGTAAATTGTAATTTCCTCACACCATTACAAGGGTACATATCCACATGACTTATCAGTGATGATGTTCAGCTTGATCCAGAGGCTGAGGGAGTTTTTGCCACATTTCTTCAATGAAAAGTTACTCTTCACTCCTCTTTTCATTCAGTATTTTTTTTTTAAAGGAAGTCACTTGTGTAGCCCACACTCCTTAAGGAGTGGAGAGTTATACTCT